>NC_000003.12:110675270-110978301 GCF_000001405.40 Homo sapiens | reverse complement strand
TATACTTTGATATGGGTAATTAATGTTTTCTATTTTTTTCTTAATCAGTCTAACTAGAGATTTATTGGTTTTATTAATCCTGACAAAGAACCAAATTTGTTTTTGTTGAATTCATTTTTAAAAAATTGGTTTCTCCTCGGTTTTTATTATGTTCTTTCTTCTACTCACATTAAATTCAATTTGTTCTTTAGCTCCTTAAGGTAGAAGCATAAATAATGAATTTAAAAAATCTTTCTTTTCTAATATAAATATTCAAGGCTATTATTTTTTCTCCAAGCCCTTGTTTAATTATATTTCATACATTTGTGTATATTTTGTTTTCATTATCATTTAATTCAAAATGTAAAAAATTGCTGTTATAATTTCTTCTTTGCCCTAAAGCTTATTTAGAATTATGTTGTGTAATTTCTAAGCATATGCATCTACTTAAAGCATCTTAATTTTTTTCTTCTAATTTAATTCTACTGTAGCCAGAGAATATGATGTGTATTGTTCTGATTCTTTGAAATGTATTTCTGTAAGGTCAAGTATATTCCTTGTCTTAGTAAATATTCCATCTGTATTTGTAAAGAATTTGTATCCTCCCGTTTTTGAATATAGTATTCTATAAAATCAATTAGTTTAAGTTGGTAGCTACTGTTGTTCAAATCTTCCATACACTTTACACTTTCTTTTTGCCAGTCTTGTTTTTCTGTCAATGCCTTAGGAGAAGTTTTAGAACCTCCCACTCTAATTTAGCTATTTCTATTTCACTGTTTTGATTTTTGCTTTATTTTGAACCTTTGTTACTAGGTACATACACATTAACAATCGTTATGTCTTTTTGGTAAATTAATTCCTTCTTAATTATCAAATGTCCCTCTATATCTCTACTACTTTTTGTCTCAATGTCTATTTTGTCTGCTATTAATATAGTCACTTAAACAGCAGCTTGTCACATTTTCATGTTTTTTTTCCTCCTTATTCTTTTACTTTTAACCCTCTATGTCAACTTATTTCAGTGACATTTCCTTTAAACAGAATGTATTTTTATCTCACTTTTTAAATCCAGTTGACAGTCTCTGCTTTTAAATTTGTATGTTCAGTGCTACTACATTTAACATGTTTATTGATATTGATAGATATGGATATTATAACATTTAACTATGCCACTTCTCTTTTTATTTTCTATTTGTCCCATTTGTTCTTTGTTCATTTTTTCCTTCCCTCTCTTTTTTAGACTAATTCATATTTATAAGTATTTCATTTTATCTCATTTCTTGGCTATGTAGTTTTGATATAACTCTTTGGTTTCTTGTTTGTGTATGGTCTCTGCAAGATTTACTATATGCAACCATAACTTATAACAGTCTACCTGGAATTAATATGCTATCATAGGATGCATAATTTAAGACTCTTAGAATATACTTACATTTATCCTCTTCTAGATTATTGTGTCATTGCTGTTATTCATTTTACTTGTACTTTTATATTTCCTACAATTAATTTTAATTATATTTTATTTTAAAAAGTAAATTTTCTTTTAAAGATATTGAGAAACAGGAAGAAAATGTTTTCTGTTTACCTGCATATTTACCATTTCTAGTGCTCTCTTTCCTTGGTATAAGTCTGAGTTTTTATCTAGTCTCATTTCACTTCAGACTAAAGAACTTCTTTTAAGATTTCTTGTAGTACAGATTAACTGATTTAAAAAATGTATCCCTTTCTTTTCATGCCCATAGCCATGGCCACACCTCCAGGGTCATTAGATCCTGCATTACCAGGAATCCTTCAGTTGGCCCCTAACTTGTCCTTTTATCACTAATGTCATTTTCTTGGTATCTACTCTTCACATTTCTGCCAGAATCATCCTTCCAAAATGTGAGTCTGATCCTATAAGTTTCTCCTTAAAATCTCCAATGGCTTCCAATAGTCTTCATGGTAAATGTCAAACTCCTAATTTTGGCATTCAAAATTCTTTATTTTCTAGTCTATGCCTACTTCTCCACTACTATCTCTTGTAATTCTATGACCTGTACTCCATTAAAGTGCCAAACCAACCCCTTGAGTTTCTAGAATTCCAGCTGTAACTCGTTTTTAGTTATGTAATTTTAGCAACAATGAAGACAACCATTTTGTTGTATACAATAGAAGAAAACAAGAAAACCTTAGGTTATTAGGCAAAATTACACAGTACTGTCTAAAATACAGAGCAGAAGGGAACAGAGATTTCTTGCAAAGAAATCTGTCAAAATTTCTCTTCACTTAAATTATCTCTTTTAAGACAGGTAGGTTCTGCCATTTTGAGTAAGGATCAACAAGTCTTCACCCATTGTTAACTCTTACCTCTGTTACAAAAGTTAATAATAGTCTCCATTTGTTATTTGCCATGATTTGGTACCTTTATTTATATCAGTAAACTGAGAAGTGAAGCAATTTGCCTCAGGTAAAACAGAGCTGGTAGATAGTATTTAACCTCGGCCCTGTATGACTATAAACCCTATAAGTATCCTACTAAACACTCTGGAGTACCAGAATCCCTTCTGTTTTCATGCAGTAGACTATTGTTAACCTAGATAGTTGTCAAAACTATCCTACTTTTGTTGATAACCATGGATCATAAACACAGAACCTAATGTAAGAATTGTTGCTACCTGTTCAGTTTTTTTACTAGTGAATAACTCCATCAATATTCCAGTTTTCTTGTTTGTAACATTTTATTCATAATCATTCCTTACAGGAGAGAATAAAAATTATTTGCAAGATATTATAAGATATTTCTAATACAAACAAATGCCTTATAAGCCCCTTTGAGTTGCCTGACGAAATGTGTAATATGAAGACAAGTTTTTAGTGGTTGAAATGTATTTTCCACAAGTCTCACCAGTTGTTTTAAACACAATCTCATGGTAACAGTTTGTTCATCCAAGATTAACATAAGCCAATATACACATTTGTAGAAAAATGTAACCCAATTACTTTGAGGAACACTGACATATTTTAGATCAAAATGCCAAAAAAAAATGAATTTTCTTAATAATTAGTTTCAAAAATGACGTTTTTAAGATAAAAACTGTTCTGAAAAACACCTCTATGCCCTTATGTTACATCTATTTTACCAGATATTGAGTAACATAAGTGGGCAAAAATAACAAGAGCAATTCATCTCAATAGTTATAGCTCACATTTTTTTTCTTGTTGACATATGAGGCAAATTGCCTTAAAGGTCATTAACCACGTGTTCTGCAGATAAATCTCACAACTGTTGCTGTTTATCTTGGCAGCACTGAAAAATATTAGAAAGCTTTGATTAAAATTCTAAGTTTCTGTAAAGCCCTAAAACTTTAAAATTTTAAGCTATGAAAGGATTTATTCAAGTTTTTATGTTGTAAAATCAAACAATAGCAACTTCTGGCTCTTTTACCCACTCAAATACAAGTATCCCTTTCTTGTTCTCGAGAAACATCTAAAGATATATAATGGCTAAGAATTCAATATGCATATGTGATATTTATTAGAACTTTGGGAAAAAGCCTTGAGAAATATACCCATTATATTACTTTATTTGTTATTCAGAAGATTAAAGCAAAATTAACAGACTATAAGGCTAGATGAGTAAATTTTAACAAAACATTTTGGAGGTGAACACTAGGCGAGAACTAGCTAAAAATTATCATAATTTCAGATGTTGACTGCATGAAAAAAATTATAGCAAATGAATTAAAGCATTTTAGAAGTTATGAGAGCTGATAGGTAGAAGGAAATTTAGAATAGATCAATTCTAGACTTAAATCATATGTGTAAAATGTGTTAGAATTTGAAGTTCTTATTTCATCACAACTTGGTGTAATCTTTCATACACATAGTTCTTTAGCTCCCTGGGCCTGGAACACAGTCTCAATTCTTCCTAAATTTTTAGAGCCTACTGATTCTTCAACATCGAGGTCACATATCACTCAATCCTTCATCTGAACAGTCATATTATTTCTTGCCTAGACCATTCATTTGGACTACCTGGGGTTACTCCTGAACTATTATTTAAGAGTCTAATTTAATTCTTCAGGTTTTCATGCAGAAAGCAAATCCTTTACTTATTGCTATGCCTCCTATCACCTAACCTAGTAGAGAAACTTTAAAATTCACTGAAGCCTGTCAAGTAAACATGGCTGATGAAACAAATGTGTTAATCTCTGCTCCCTCTCAAATTTCCAGCAAAATTACAAGAAGGTATAGAAAATATACTGATTCATCCATGACAATACAATGAAAATTGAAGAGAAGACTGCAACAGGCAAGAAAGAGAAAAGTTAGAGAGGAATATGACAAGAGGATGAAAGAAACAATAAGGCACAGGAAAATGAATCTTAAAAGCAGGCAGAAGGAGATAAGGTGCAAACCTATTGATGTGTCAAACCATGGAAATATTGAGATATTAGGGGTACCAGTTATCAAGAAGGAGGAGTATGATGGGGATTAAAAACAAAGGAATTGGTTTGAAATATACATAGATTTAAGATATGAATTAAAATTAGGCAGACATCCAGGCCTTCACCCCTATCTGAGAAGCATGTGCCCATCCTTCTGCCATCTCCAAAGGAGATGAAAGGTTTGATTTCACAGAAATGTCACCATAAGGACTAGACTTGTGGTTAGCAGTCACAAAGGGTAAGTTGTCTAAATCAAATCAGAATAGATTAAGTGAAAGTGTACAATATATGATGAAAACACATCTTTCCCCCTTTTCCTGCACAGCTCTCAGAAAAATCAGCAGTCACCTCCTTCCTGAGGCAGGAACCGGGAGGGTACTTTTCTGAGGATATTGAAGAGCCAAAGTGAAACTAACCACAGATATTGACATGTTGTATACCCTAAAAAAGGAGCTAGCTGGCCAATCTGCACAGTGAAGTAAATATTCTTAAAAGACTCACCCACGTATGGAGTTTCCTATAAGCTTTATTGTATATCACTTTCAAATATGAATAAATCATCAAGGATAACCTGACATTTGAGGAACTCCTCCCAACAAGAAAGAAGATAAAACAAAGAAAAAGAAATTCACAAAAATAGAAGCAATACAAGAATCAGAGAAAAATTAAAAACAAATTATGATTCTCATTCTCAGAAAAAAATGAAATGATGTCATTTTCATTAAAGAACTACATGCTAAAAAGGTAAATTACTGAAAATTAAGAATGAAGTTGTAGAAAATAAAACATGATACCTAAAATAATAAAAAAAATCAATATGCTACTTGGAAGTTAAATCAAGGAAATTTCTTAGAAAATAGAATGAAAAGGTAAAAAGGAGAGAAAAGCTTAGAAAAATCAAAGATCAATCCAGTAGTTTTTATAGTGGATGAGAACACATCCCCCATCTATTATAGATGACTAATAGATGATCTATAAAGAGACAATAAATAAAATGGGAAAAAAATCTCAAGAAAATAATACAAGAAAATTTCCATTAATAAAAGGCATAAATCTCGAGATTGAAAGGGACTTCTGAGGGATTAGAATAATTAATTTACAAAAACAAAAAGCAGAAGAAAAAAAAGTAAAATAGACCCAAACCAAGGTATGCCCTCATGAAATTCATACCAGCAGGATAATGAGACAATCCTAAAATTATTCACAGAATGAAACAGATTGCATATAAAAGATTGGGATTAAGAATGCCATCATATTTTTCCACAGCCATCATCAGAAGGAATTCCTTAAAAACTCTGATAAAAACAATTTTCATTCCCCAGACTCAATCTACAAACAAATTATAAAGAAATTGTGAGAACACCGTAATGTCTAAAAACGTTTACTCTCCTACCCTATTTTTTAGGTGGTTACTCTAAAATGAGGGGTTAATTCCAAAACCAAAACCACCAAACAAAAACAAGACAAATCTGGAAATAGGAGATTCAACACTAGAGAGGTGAAAGCACTTTCCATGATGATGGCAAAGAAAAGTGCCAGGATGAGAGCTTTTGTGCTTCAAACTTAGCAACAAGCTAAGAGAAGGTAGAGTGACTTTGGAAAAGCATAGAACTCATGGATATTTAAAAAAATAAATGTGACTATATGGAAAAGTGAAACAAGGAATTGTTGGAAGCTGCAAGTAAAGTTATAAATGGACCAAAAAACGTTAAAGATGCACAAAAAAAAGGAAGAAACTGTTAACTTTAGGGAAAACTGAAATTAAGAAAGAAAATGTAACAGTACATGGTCTTGCAGAAAACAATGTAGATACTAAATACCAACTTTATAAAAAATATATTTTTAATGGTATTAGGTGGAGAAACAGAAAGCAGAGTAAGACTGCTATAGTCTTCAAATACGATAAAATCAGAAGCCTAACTTGATAAATCAGGACATACCATATTAGGCATATTATTTTTTAACATGAAGTTAAATGTCAGAAAAAAGATCCACAACCTTGTAAGTGACTGTATGGTAGGATAAGTTAGAGGCAGGGGACTGCTGTTTCCATTACAAGCCTTTAAATTCTGTGCATATATTACTCTGATAAATATAAGAATTAGAAATTAATTATTAAATATTGGGATTTAACTTATTTACAATAAGAAGGTTCATTCTATTTTACCGTGTTGCCTATGGTGTCCAAAGGTCTCTGATTCCCTAAAGGAGGGGCAAGGAAAAGAGAGGCACCTATTTCTCCTTTCACCCTGATATATTGCTTGGAGTGTAAACTGCAGGCCTCCACTCTACCTCCATACCATGATCTCAAACATCAGCCCAGAGAGAGGGCCCTTTCTCCTTCCAAATATTCTTTAAAAAGGCCACACTGATGTTCTCAGAGGCAAGGCTCAGGATCCCTGTAAGGAACAATCTTCATTTTCAGCTCCTCTAGTTTCCTGGAGGAAGACTTTTCTTGTAACACTTACGGTATCCTTTACTTCTCACTGGCTCCTCCCTGAGCAAGGAAGAAGGACTCGATCATATTAAGGGATAGGAGAGGAGGAACTGGGCATGCCTGTTTCTGCTCCTTCCAGTCATCTTGGAAGTGCGCACTTCTAAGGATGTGCAAACCGAAGCCTGCTCCCCTGTGTTGTACCAGGTATCGTCTCTTACCCAAAGGCTCTGAATGGGGAAGTCTAGCCGTTTATCCAGTGCTGCCAGTGACTGCGTGGGGTTAGTCTGCTCATTTCTGCAGTTCACAATGAGGAAGTCCATTACTGCCCCATACCTCTACTGGAGCTTTCAATAGTAGTAAAGGTAATGTTTTGGTTCCATTAGCCAACTATCCAATTGTCCGTAGTTATTATTTACGGGGCCAGATCTAATTCAACATTAACTCTGTCAAATATCTGACTGTGGTGTCTTTGTGTTTCTTGGTTCTCCCGTGGGATTTTCTGTGGTCAACTTGGTGGCAGTGTATAAATACCATTCTAGTAAATTTTAAATGTTATGGTCTTATGTAAAATTTCTTTGCATTATTGGGATTGTAAAGTCAACTACTTAATGGAAAAAATGAAGAAATTAAGTTAAATTTTCTTTATTTGCAAGCAACCAACGTTGAAAATGTAAATAAAAGCTGTCAGTTGAAAGATAGAATAACATTTACATTCTTCTCCTGGGAAAACATGAAAATTAGGAATTTGAGGATTCAGTTAAGGGAAAAGATAATGAAAATGTCATATATTTTCATATTGTATCCCAAGAGAAGTTGGGATTGTAATATTTCATATTGTATCCAAGAGAAGTTGGTCATCTTAAATTAGGTAACTGATTTATATAACAAACATACTTTGTAACATAGAATTATTGAGCATCTCCTGTGTGCCAGGCATCTTCTGTGTACCAGGCACTGTTTTAATGTTAATGATAGAAAATTTGATGCTGATGATACAATAGTGAACAAACAGACAAAAATCCCGGCCCTTGTGGAGATTACTTTCTGATGGAGATTACTTTCTAAGAGAATAAACCATAAGTAGGTTAAACATATGGTATGTTAGAAAATAATGAATGTTATGGAGCAAAAATAATTTATCTAATTTTGGTCATTGTAGAAAATAAAATAAGTAGAGGTTCCTCTTCAAAGGGACTTTCCTCCCAGTCTAATTGAGAATAGATAGTAACCTCTCTTAGAAGCAAAATTTACTCAAAGAATTGTGCTAATATTCTTAAACATCTGCTAGCTGTAATAAAGAAACCAATATACTCTGTGTTCTTAGCTCCCACATTTTAGCCTAGATATTTGCCCTGGCATCCCTGAACCAATCCAAGCAAGCATTAGGTCATAGCCTATTCCTCTTCCTTATTTGGAAGTGTTTTTGCCTCTCTCAGCATTCCACAAGTTACTTCCTCTCTTCCTTTGTTTTCCTCTGCCTTTGCCTCTTTTGGGAAGTTCTAAGTTGCTAGCCAGTTGGGTCAAGTACAGAATGTAAGGTCCCGTTCCAGCCAATGGAAATCGGACACAGCAGTAGGGTGGACATGTCAGGTTATAAATGACCCTGTCTCCTTTGTTCGTGTGTGCTTTCCTGGCAAGACTGCTAGCAAGCAGCACCCTTTCTGCAGAAAGTAAACTAGCCTTGCTGAGAGATTCTTTGTCTCAGTGTTGATTTTTGCAACACCGAGCACTAGTTCCCAACAATTTGGTGGCCCGTATGGGGAATAACATTCCCCTCTTGGATGGTGTTTGCCCCTCTCTCATGGGGAGGTGCCCTGCCACCCGTTGTTGCCGCGGCCCCAGCAGGAGAGCCGGGACCTACCTGGTGTGAGGAATATACTTGGAGTCTCAGCATCGGCGGGGAAAGAGAGAGGCTTGTGGGACCGTGGTGACCAGGTGACTCCGTGCGTGGGCCAAGGTAGGAAAAGCCGCAAGAGGGGGGCAAAGTACTTCCTTGGTGGTCAGCTTTTGGAGGATGAGTAATTGTGTGTATGTGTGAATGATTATCTGTGCTACGAGTCCTGCTGTTCGGCAGAATGTGTGAACACAGACGGAAACAATGTAAGGGACCTCCAAAAGGGAGAGGGAGGAAGGTTAACCTCTTGGGAAAGAGAATCAGCGAGACATCTCTGGTTTGAGAGATTGAGTCTTTTAGCAAGCTTTTAAAGACTGGACAGGTGAGAAATCTCCAGTCTGAAGGATCTGGGGGATTGGGCCTCCCCGGGAGAAAGATAGGTAAGACATCCCTAGTATGTGGGATTGGACTTATCTAGGATCAAACATGGGAAAAGGCCCTTGGCAAGCCTCCAGAGGAAGGGAGGATGAGAAGCCTCTAGTAGAAGAGGTTGAGCCCCCTTCTGTGCACCCAGGAGTGCTAGAAACCTCCAGCAAGGGGGGTTGAAAGCTCCAGGAAAAAGGCCTATTCTAGTTAGGCACCACCCCAAACCTTCAAGATAGGAAATATTCCGAGTAAAACAGGGAAAATAAAGAGCTGTGGCTACAGCAGTATTAGTTGAAGAAGGTAGAAAATTAACCTTTTGGGGGGAAATTAATTGTAAGCATGCCCCACCAAGTTAGAGCTATTGTAAATCAAAAAGCAGGAAGGTAGCTTACTGACTCCAGAATCTTAAAATATAAGGCTATTTTGCTAGGAAAAGATGATTTCATCTTGACTACTGATAATTCACTCAACCCAGCAGGTTTCTTGTCAGGAGACCCAAATCTTAAAAAAAAAAAAAAAAAAAAAGAACACTTGTGTCTAGGTTTGATTGACTACCAAACAAAAGTCAGGCCAGATCTAGGAGAGGCCCCTTTTAAAACAGGGCAACACTCATTTATAGATGGTTCCTCCAAAATAGTCAAAGGAGAAAAACATAACAGGTTTTCAATCCTTGGTGGAGAAACTCTTGAAGAAGTAGAGTCAGGAAGACTGCCCAATAATTAGTCTGCCCCAACCTGTGAACTGTTTGCATTCAGCCAAGCTTTGAAACACTTGCAGAACAAAGAAGGAACTGCTTATACTGATTCTAAGTATGCCTTTGGTGCAGCACATACAGTTAGAAAAATTTTGGGCTGAGCAAGGTCTTATTAACGGTAAAGACCAAGATCTAGTCCACAAAGAACTAATTGTTTGTGTTCTAGACAATCTCCAGTTGCCAGAAGAGTTAGCTATTGTACATGTCCCAGGGCATAAAAAGGACTTTTTTTTTTTTCACAAGTTGGGGAAATAACCAAATGACTTTGCAGATCAGATAGCCAAACAAACTGCTGTTTCTTCTGAAATGTCTTTCACTTAACTCCTTGCCTTCCTTCCCCTACTGTAGTCCCCATCTTCTCTTCCACTGAAAAAGAAAACCTAATAAAAATAGGAGCTAAAGAGAACACAAAAGGAAAATGGATATTACCAGATCAAAGGGAGATATTATCCAAACCTCTCATAAGGGAGGTCTTAACTACGGTTCTCAGAGTTTATAAGTGTATTGGAATTTATACCCTAGTCAAACAGGTCACAGACAATTGTCTAACATGCAGGAAAACTAATAAACAAGCCCTAAGAAAATCACCCCTTGGAGGATGAGATCTGGAGCTAAGACCATTCCAAAGTGTTCAAGTTGATTACACCGAAGTGCCTCCAATCGGTCGCCTGAAGTATTTATTAGTAATAGTAGATCATCTCACTCACTGGATCGAAGCTATCTCCTTTCCAAATGGAACAGCTAATAATGTAATTAAAGCATTAATTGAGAATATACTGCCCCTTGTGTTAATAGAGAATATTAACTCAGACAATGGAAACCATTTTATGACACATATTATTAAGAAGCTGGCCCAAGTGCTAGACATAAAATGGGAATACCATATTCCCTGGCATCCCTCATCCTCCAGGTGAGTAGAAAGAATGAATCAAACCCTTAAGAATAATCTGACTAAATTAATTCTAGAGACTCATTTACCATGGACCAAATGTCTTCCCATTGTCTTATTGAGGATCAGGATAGCTCCTCGAAAGGATATAGGCCTGTCTCCATATGAAATGTTATATGGATTGCCCTATTTACATTCCTAGCTAATGTTCCTATGTTTGAAACTAAGGATCAGTTCCTCAGAAATTACATACTTGGTCTCTCCTCTACCTTTTTTTCTCTTAAGATCAAAGGTCTCTTAGCACAGGTGCCATCACTAGAATTTCCAGCACACCAGCACCAACCCAGGGACCATGTTCTCATCAAAGGGTGGAAGGAAGGGAAACTTGAGCCCACCTGAGTAGGCCCCTATCTTGTGCTCTTAACCACTGAGATTGCCGTCTGCACAGCTGAGAAATGATGGACCCACCATACTTCAGTCAAGAAATCATCTTCCTCATCAGAATCATGGGTTACTATACCAGGATCGAGTCCTACCAAGTTAAAATTAAAGAAAGCTTAATTTTCATAACCTTGTATATTGCTTCCTTTCCTTTCCTTATTCTGTTACTAGCTCCTTTGTTATTAATGTAACTAAGTCTGACTCACCTCAGACCATTGCTTTTGATGCTTGCTACGTCATACCTTGTGGAGATGTGAAGGATCAATAATAGCTAGCCTTTTCACACAAATATTTATGCCCCAGCCCTCTAACTGACACAGTTACTCCTAGCACTCATCGTTGTGATCACCTGTAGCTGAGATGCCAATTTTCTGCTCCTACAGCCTGGCAACCTTGTAGTAGATGGGACTACATCCTTTGGACTACTCAGGAGCAAGGTTGGACTTCTAAGGAAGAGGTTTGTGCAGATCTAAAACCCCTCATCTATTTCACTAAAGGGACTACCCCTTCTCAGTCTTTCTCTCTATCAGCACCTCCACCTTAACTGACTCTAGACCTGCCCTTAGTTGCTTATATGGTATGGGGATTGATGTAAATGGGAAAGACCCCCTAGGCATTTTTAAGATATGCAATATTCCCCCATCTTCCCCTTCTTCAGTAGCTTCAGTTTTAGATCCCACACTGGTTGCTTCTACACCTAATAATAAAACCAGGGTGTCTATTAGGAAGGTAAAAGATCTAAGACAAACCTTAGCCATTGAGACAGAATATCAAAATGCAAATGCCCGGCTGGAATGGAATAAATATCCCATTCACACTTTAAATAAGAGTGATTGTTACGCTTGTGCTCACGATAGGCCAGAGGCTCAGATTGTCACCTTTCCACTCGGATGGTCTCCTCATTGACCAGGTACAGACTGTATGGTGACTGTCTTTCAGAATCCCACTGCTTGGGATAATCCATCATGCTGAGCTCTCTCTGCTGTTTCCTGAAGTTCAACACCCTGTAGGTCAGCCCCCGAGGGCAATCCAACTTCCACCTCTAAATGCCAAGTTTACTTTGTGCCTCTCACAGCAAGGGGAAAATTTGATGTTCCTTGGAGGCATAAAAGGATGCAAGGAGCTCAAGCCTTTCCAGGAGCTTGCCCATCAGTCCACGCTTAGCCATTGCCAAGCAGATGTATGGTGGTATTGTGGTAGACTTTTACTGGACACTCTGCCAAGTAACTGGAGCAGAACTTGTGCTCCAGTTCTGCTATCCCTTTCACCCTGGCATCTCAACAGTCTGGTAAAGTAAAAACAAAATGTCATAAGCCAAAAGAAATTCCTTATAAGTCCTTTGATTCTCAAGTTTATAAAGATGCTATTGGGGTTCCATGAGGAGTGCCAGATAAATTCAAAGCGCAAAATCAAACAGCTGCAGGATTTGAGTGTATGTTATTCTGGTGGGTAACTATTAATAAAAATGTAGACTGGATAAACTATATCTATTACAATCAGCAACGATTCGTAAATTACACTATGGATGCCATTAAAGGGATAGCTAAACAATTAGGACCTACCAGTCAGATGGCCTGGGAAAATGGAATATCCTTAGATATGATATTGGGGGAAAAAGGAGGTATTTGTGTTATGATTGTGACCCAATGTTGTAGCTTTATACCTAATAATACTACCCCTGACGGAACTATAACCAGAACACTGCAGAGATTAACAGCCCTCTCCGATGAACTTGCCAAAAATTCTGAAATAAATGATCTTTTTTCTAAAATAATAGAACATTGGTTCAGTGGATGGAAAGGAATTTTGACTTTAGTTCTCACCTCGTTTGCTCTTGTTATTGGTGTACTTATTCTTGTAGGCTGCTGTATTATTCCCTGTCTTCAAAGTTTTATACAAAAATTTGTCTCTGCTACTCTCACAAAATGATTTCCTAACTCTTCTCCACCCTATTCGGAAAGATTACTTCTCTTAGAAGGACAAACAGCAGTTGAGTCAAGACATAGTATACAGGTTTGAAGAGGAATTATAAAATAAAAGAGGGGGGAATTGTAGAAAATGAAATAAGTAGAGGTTCCTCTTCAAAGAAACTTTCCTCCCAGTCTAATTGAGAATAGATAGTAACCTCTCTTGGAAGCAAAATTTACTCAAAGAATTGTGCTAATATTCTTAAATATCTGCTAGCCATAATAAAGAAATCAATACACTGTGTGTTCTTAGCTCCCACATTTTAGCCTAGATATTTGCCTTGGCATGCCTGAACCAGTCCAAGCAAGCATTAGGTCATAGCCTATTCTTCTTCCTTATTTGGAAGTGCTTTTGCCTCTGTCAGCATTCCACAAATTACTTCCTCTCTTCCTTTGTTCTCCTCTGTCTTTGCCTCTTTTGGGAAGTTCTAAGTTGCTAGCCAATTGGGTTGAGTACAGAATATGAGGTCCCATTCTAGCCAGTGGAAACCAGACACAGCAGTAGGGTGGACGTCTCAGGTTATAAATGACCCTGTCTCCTTTGTTCATGTGTGTTCTCGTGGCAAGACTGCTAGCAAGCAGCACCCTTTCTGCAGAAAGTAAACTAGCCTTGCTGAGAGATCCTTTGTCTCAGTGTTGATTTTTGCAACACCAAGCACCAGTTCCCAACAGCCATTCAATGCTTTTTTGCTTTGTCAAGTGTGTTTACTGGTTCCTGATCTTTTAACTGTGAGCAAAAAAAATTGCTTACCTGTTAAATAAGAACATTGAGGCATGGCATGGTGGCTCACGCCTGTAATCCCAGCACTTTGGGAGGCCGAGGCGGGCAGATCACAAGGTCAAGAGATCAAGACCATCCTGGCCAACATGGTGAAACCCTGTCTCTACTAAAAATACAAAAATTAGCTGGGCGTGGTGGTGAGCACCTGTAGTCCCAGCCATTCGGGAAGCTGAGGCAGGAGAATCCCTTGAACTAGGGAAGTGGAGGTTGCAGTGAGCTGAGCTGAGATTGTGCCACTGCACTCCAGCCCTGGTGACAGAGTGAGAATCTGTCTCAAAAAAAAAAAAAAAAAAAAAAAAAAAGAACATTGAATATATCTGTTATGAAGATTCCCAAATGTGTTTCTTTCTAAACTGTCTTTGTATTTTTATGCATCTTCTAAACTGTCTTTGCAGTTTTATTCATCTTCTAATTGTTTTTGTTTCAAAGAAAGATGTGTTCCTTTTCCTTTTCAAAGTTGGTTTACTTTCTGTGCCTGGGACCCCATAACCTCAATCTTTTTTTTGGACTTTGTCTAAACAACCACTCTCTCTTGCATCTTTTACCATCTCCTTATATACTTACTCTTTTTCCTGAACCTATTCATTTTATGAAATTTCCCCTGTCCTAAAACAAGAAAAAAAAAAAAAGGACCACTGGCACAAAAATGTCTGCCTCTATTATTATTTTTCTGCTTCCTTTTATTGCCTAACCTCATTTTTAAAAAACTTCATGTTTTTTTTAAAATTACAAGAGTAATATACACCTCAGAAAACTTGGAAAACAAAGAGCTCAAAGGAAGAACATCCACAGTTGAAAGATTATTAACTTTGTAGGGTATATTCTTACATTATTTTTCTAATACTGTACTTTTTTCTGTGACCAATATGGTATTATTCAGTTTACATATATCTTATAGTGCACATTACAAATTGTGATATATTGGCAACATCTTCTCATGTCATTATTTTTGTTTGCTTATTTTGTTTGCTTCAATATTATTTTAATGGCTACATAGCATGCCATTGTATAAATATACCAAAATTTACTTACCAACTTCATAAATTTTCTTATTGCTACCAGAAATTATATATTTATTGTTTAGTTTTTAATGGTTTGTCTCTCCACTAGCATAGAAAATATGTGGAAGTAGGGAACTTGATTTGTCTTACTTCCTACTGTCCAGTGCCTAGAATGGCTTTTGGTACATAGTGGTCACTGAATATGTATTTGTTAAATGAGTTTATATATGGTTGCATATTTAAATTACTTCTGATTTTAACTATTATAGATAATACTGCAGGAAAATTCTTATACATATATGTGCACATTATGATTTGTTTAGTGTACACTTTTACAAGGTAAATTTCTAAGTCAAATTATGCAAAATTTAAGGTTTATAATAAATTGCCTAATATTCTCTTGAATAATCGTGCCAATATACACTCCCATTAGCTGTGCATGAGTGTGTCTATTCCAGCAGTTTTTTCCAAAATTGTATTTTAGTATTAAAAAATTATTTCCAAGTTAGTAGGTAGATTCATTTTTTTATGTGCATTTATTTGATTATATGATGTTTGAGAATATATTTATTTAATTTTTTTGTATATGCTAAGTTTTTTTTATAACCCAAAATATGGCCTATCTTGGTGAATGTTTCCTGTACTCTTGAAAATCATGTGTATTCTGTTGTAATTGGGTGGAGTGTTGTACAAAATATCAGTGAGGCTAAGTTGGTATTAGGTTTCTATATCCTTTGTCTACTTATTTCTTCAATTACCAAGAAAGGAGAATTAAAATTTTCAACTGTAATTGTGAATTCATCTATTTTTCCTTTCATTTCTATTGGTTTTTACCTTATGTATTTTGAAACCGTGTTGTTAAATGCATAAATATTTGGATTATTATGTTTTGGATTAGTACCTTTTCTTGAAGAGTTGACCTCTTTATCATTTTCTAATGTTTCTGTTCATCCCTGGCAAGATTCCTTGTTATAAAGTTAGCTTTGGCAGATATTAATGTAGGTACTCAATCTTTCTTTTTATAGTGCTTACACAATAAATCTTTTACTTTAACCCCTCTATGCCTTTATATTTAAGATATCTTACAGACAAAAATAAGTTGTGTTGTACTCTTTTATCAAGTATAATAAATTTGCCTTTTAACTTGATATATTTAGACCCTTTACATATAATGTAATTATTGAGATGATTAGTTAAAATCTACCATTTTGCTGGTTGTTTTCTATTTGTTTTTTCTTATTTTTTCTGCCTTATTTTAGATTGAGCATTTTTTTATGATTCAGTTTTTAACCACTATTGCCTCATTATTTGTTCTTTTTCATAAACTATTTTAGTGGTTTCTCTAACATTTTTAGTATTCATCTTTAAATAGTCAAGGAGTATATTATGGCACTTAACATGTACTGTAAGAACTTTATAACAATATACTCTCAATCCTTTATTCTCATTGTACTGTTGTCATACATTTTATTTTTACACATACTATAAGTTTTTATACATACATACAATACATACAATACATTGCTACTATTTTTGCTTTAGGCAGTCAGTTATCTCTTAGAACCAATTAAAAATAAAAAATAATTTTATATCCATATTCCATTTCTAGTGCTATTTATTTCTTTCTGTATATCCAGGTTTCTGACTGGTATCATATACCTTTGCCTGAAGAACTCTCTTAAAATTTAGTATAATGCATTTCTGCTGGCCATGAATTCTCTCTGAGTTTATTTCTTTCAGGAAGGTTTTATTTCTCCTTTATTTTTGACTGATATTTCACTAGATATAGAATTAAGAATTAACAGTTTTTCTTTTGGCACCTAAGATGCCACTCAGTGTTTTTCTTTCTTGCATTATTTCTGATGAGAAATCTGGCGCAATCATAACTTATATTTGTTGTTCTGTACATAATGTATCTTTTTTTTCCCTGCCCCTGGTTGTGTTCAAGATTTTCTCTTTGTTTCTGGTTTTCAACATGCCTAGTTACTTTCTGTTTCTTTTTTGTGTTTATCATGCTTGATGTTCTCTGAGCATCTTGGATCTATAGTTTGGAGTTTGTCATTAACTCAGAAAAATTTTTTCCCATTGTTTCTTAATTTTTTTTTGTCCTATCTTCTTCTCTTTTTGGTATTTTAATTGCACACATTTTAAACTGTTTGATATTGTTTCATTACTCTCAGATGCTCTGCTCACTTATTGTTTCACCCATCATTCCCTTTGTGTCTTTTTTTTTCTTTTGGTTAATTCCTATTGACTTATCTTACTTATCTTAAATTTCATTTATTCTCTTCTCTGCATCAAGTCTATTGCTGAGCCTATTGAAGGCATTCTTCATCTCTATTATATTTTAATTTCTTGGATTTCCACTTGATTTTTTGTTGCAGTTTCAGTTCTGTTACTGAAATTACCTATCTGGCTTTGCATGTTGTCTAATTTTTCCACTAAAGCCTTTTATATATTAACCATAGTTATTTTTAATTCCTAGTCTGATATTTTCAACATCTATCCTATCTGAGAGTGGGTATATTTTTGCTTTGTTTCTTGACAATTTGTTGTTTTTTATTTGCTTTGTCTAATGCCTCTTAGTTTTTTGTTGGCATTTGGACACCACATCTAGGATAGCAAAGACTGAGATAAACAATTTTTATGCCTGGAAATAGTGTAGTAACTTTCCTTTTGCTAGCCCTTTTGTATAAGGGGAAGTTGAGTCAGTTAAGTCAGAAATTGGGCTATAGTCACATTTTGTTGTTGCTATGGTAACTTTTTTGTGCAACACCAGCTTTCAATCTTAGAGTAAGGGCTGGTTTACCAGAGGTTGTTTTTTGAATGTTTGCCCCACCTCTGCTTTATATCTTCTCAGAGAGCTTCTCTCTTCAAGGTCTTGCTCCTTTTCTTTAAGCGCGCTGTTGTTCCTTGACGGATAGTTCAGCTTTAGTTGCATGGCGGTAGATGTGTGTGTGGAGGGGGGTGGTGGTTGGGGGACTGAGGTGGGTGGTGGGGGCAGTATTTTCTGTTGTTTTGATAAAGCTGCAGACTTAGACAGGCACTGAGTTCTGGGTCACAGGAGTAGGACTTCTCAGGATGTCTCTGAGGAAACCTTTAATGATCTGGGCCCAGTACTTGTTCCAGCCTCTCCTCTAGTGGTAGAGAGTTTTTTTTTCTATTCCCACTCCTTAAATACAGTTGATTTTCAACAGCCCCGCCCAGCCCCCTTCCCCTCCCCAAGGCAGGGAGGATTTGTTTTACTTCCTTCAACAATTTAAGGCCTTTGATTCCAGGAGAGATAGGAGAGAAAGATCCAGATAGGGTTGTGTGCTTTTCCAGCAGGAGCTGCCCCCTTCCAAGAACTCCATCTCAAGAGAGGTTTTCTTAGTATCTTCACAGTTGTTTTTCTGAACATGTGACAAGGTCTTTGGAGACAAGCCTACAAGTGGATGCAAGTTCTCCTTGTGTCTGCAGGTCACAGGAGTTATGTATTTTCTGGTTAGCCTGATTCTTTAAATATTTTAGCTAAATTCTATTTATTTGCCCAGCAGCGTCTACTTCAGGTCAGCAAGTTCTTACTTTCCATCTGTCTTTGGAGGTGCCTGCCTTTCCTTAGATTTTAGGTTAGTGTGTTGCTCTACAACCTTAGCTAAATGATGAAAGTATTACTTTCTAATATTTTATTGTTGTGAACTCATTGTGAGGTGATCTGAAACTTAAATAATGAACCACTACACTTTGAATATAGAATTGAATCAGGTATTGAACCCATAAGGACTCAAGCAGATTAGCCAGTCTGTCCACCTGTTCTATTCATAGCACTTGGCCACTGGGGGACACTCGCAAACTGAGAAGTTGTATACCTTTTCTAGAGAAGACACATCTTGTTGAGACTACTTGTAAGAAGTGGGAAGAATGATTTCTGATCTCTTTAGAGTAGTGACATCACAAATAGTTGGATTTTACAATTCTTGTTTTCAAGTGCCCTTGATACATCTTTAAACAAAAAGAAGAAAAAAAATAAAATCACAACTGAGCTCAGAATAATCCTGAACATTGCTGGAAAACCTCTTGTCCATCCCAGTTATCTCATATCACAGCATCCATTTACCTATAATCTTAAAGGATATTTGATAAAGTCTACATGGTTAATATATAGCAATGATACAGACAGGATGCAGGACAATACTGGGTAGAAGAGGGTGGTTCCCCGACAAAGGCCCCACCCTCAAGCCTGGAGACCCATGGCCCTAAATGGGGACAGGCATTCCTGTTTTCGTGCTCAAAAAGTTGCCTTTTGGCCTGCCACGCCCACTGTCCTGTACCCATATAAACCTGAACCCCAGGCTCCAGAAGCAGACAAACAGACGAGGAGATAAGCAAATGAACCATGGAATGACATAGCAGAGAAAGAGAGGAGGAGGAATGTCTGAACACTGAGAGGAATTTGACTGGGGGCGGTCAGAGAGGAGTTTGGCCGCTGGATGGCCAAACTCCAGGGGAAGATCATCTTCCCACTCCATCCCCACTTCTGGCTCCCCATCCATCCTGATGAGAGCTACTTCCACCACTCAATAAAACTCCCACATTCATCCTTCAAGTCCATGTGTGACCCTTTTCTTCTAGGACACGAGACAAGAGTTCAGGATACAGAAAACTGTCACACTGGTCCTCTGCCTTGCAGAAAGACAGAGGGTCCACTGAGCTGGTTAACACTCAAGCCATGCACAGACAACAAGACTAAAAGGACACACTGTAGCACATGCCCATTTGGGCTCCTACACCCGTCTGTCTGCGTATTCCCCCTCCCATCAGGGGTTTCAGCAGTGGCGATGAGAGAACAGATGAGCCACACCCCTGTCACATGTCCTGTGAGGAGGATCTGGGAACTCTCCTGTTTCAGCAAGACTGGTGACTTTTTGGCATGTACATATATACCAGCTGGATAAACAAGCATGGAGCCCTGTTGATTAAAAGACAGTACAGCTATTATTTATTGTGAAATTTAGCCATCTTATTATAGGTGAACGAAACTCAAATTGTCACAGTATCAAGTATATGAAAAGCTTTATCTGCTTTCCTGTCCTTCCTGCCAAATATACACTACAAACACACATTTCACTTTAGGAAAAGACTTAAAAGTACTCTGAAGTGAAAACTGTACAAAGGTCTCCAGTTTCTGCAATAAGAATACATAACAGCAAGGCAATTGCAGATCAGACTGATTTTTAAGGTACAAGGATACTCTTTAAATCCCTTAAACTATGTCTCTTTTGTATATTGACACTACAGAAGTATCAGAGAAAAGGACGGAGAATCCCATAGTACCTTTGGATCTGAAGTTTTAAAAATTGAATTCATTTTATATTCAGTCATAAAAAATGTAGGTCCTTAAAACCTGATGTTCTGTACAGTTTACTTGATGGGATTGTATTGTTACTGAACACTGCCAGTGATACTCTTTAAATAGGAGTCTTCTTTGTTCTATTTCTCTGCCTTCTGTCACACCAAGGCCCATCTTTTGTGCCTTAAAATTTCTGCACAAACTCTTCATTTTTATGCAGCTTTCAGATACATGGCCCCAGGGCCTGGTCTCTCAGCAACAGTGCAGCCCTCATGTTTGATCCTTTGCATAGGTGAAACTAGCTGTGTGTTTTCTCTGTGTTTTTATATACTTACATATTTATGTTTATTCTATCTAGCAGTAGATGATCTGCTTTTCAAGTACAGAAAACATATTTAGTCCCTTCACAGCTTTCTACAACATCTGTTGCGCTGCTCTATATCATATTTTTCCTTTGAATTAGAAATAGATATAAAAATCAAGCTATAAAGTTCTGACATTTTGGAAAATCTTACTAGCCAATAATAATTGCAAACTGGGTGGGGTATGCAAAAGAAAGATGCTAATGTTTATTGAGCACAGAGTAATGGACAGGCAGTAATTTCATCTAATATTTATTTTTCTTTAAATTCCCCATATGTATATGTGGTGTGTGTGTGTGTGTACATGTGTATATGGCAGTCTTTGTTATTCTAATCCTTATAGATGGGACAAATGAGCTCAAAGTTAATAAACTTTTTCAAGATCACTCATGTAATATTTGGAAAGAGAGAATTTAAACAAAGAAAGAAGTGTTCACTTATCAATATATAGCTTGTGCTGTAGCCATCTACTGCCTGTCATATAAACTCACCAGTGATTATCTTGAAGTCAAGATGGGATGCCTATTCAACGAATTACTTATTGACCACTTCCAAGGGTAAGATCTTGGCATATTAGTTTAAGTAGTAATTGGTAATTTTGTAAAGAGCACATGTCAGGGTACCAATTGTAGAGCAGCCTCTTTCCTATTGCTCTTATTGGTAATACCTGATGCATGAAAAAATCCACCTGGGTTTAGAAATTTCTGCTAAAGTTTATACTTAAAGACATTATTATATTGGGCCTTTGGAAATAAAAGTGTAAATCAACACTGTTTTACTAAATAGTTGTCTTATACACATGTATAACATTCTATAATTGGGATGGAAAATTGCTGTTTAGAATAAGAGCTAACTACAGAAGTTTTAGTATACGAGGGAAGCTGCAAGATTCTTATCAGTGAGCTGTTATTGGTTTGGAAATGGAAACGATGACAGATATAACAGACTCACCCTTCCTGGATTCATGGTTTAAAATAAGGATTTGGAAGCACCTATGAAATTTTAAAAATCCTAATATCTGGGACTAGAAGCCAGACAGCAGTAGTTTCTAAAGATGTCCAGGTGATACTAATGTGGAACAAGTTTGGAAACCACTGGTCTAGAATCTTACTACTCAAAGTGTGGTCCTGAGTAATTGTTAGAATTGCAGAATCTTGGGCTCCACTCTAGGTCTACTAAATCATAATCTGCCTTTTAAAAAGATCCCCAGGTAGTTCTTACGAACATTAAAGCTCAGGAAGCACTGGGCTAGAAAAGTTTTCTAGCTTGTACATTAGAATCTCCCGGGGAACTTTTAAAGTATAATGATATTCTGGCCTTCCTTACTGAGACTGTAATTCATTTGATGTACGGTGGGGCCTGGTCTTTGATATGCCATATGCTCCTCAGATGGTTCCAGTGTGTGGTCATTCATGATTGTGAAACAGAGGGCAAAGCTGAATGCTGATTAACTTTGCATAAAAAATCTACAGTTTGCTCAGGTAGCCTGGGAGATAGAGGTTAAGAACACATAAAAGGAGAAATTTAAGGATGCATATGGTGGGGGATACAGCAATGTATTAGGGAGCTTCACTTGGAGAGAAAATGTTTTCCAGTGAAAAATTTCCTTGGGGAGGGGGCTTGGTGGAGGGAGGAAGAGGTGTGGGTTGAAAGACTTTAAAAACACAGAAGTGTAATAACTGATTTTAGGTTGTTGGTAGTGCTGTTATGAGGCAGGATAAGAAGTGACCATGAGAGCATTCTACTCCAGAAATTCTCAGATTTCTTGTGAAAAGTGTCCAAATTTTCAGAAGATTAAGAAGGATGGAGGCTTGAGTTATTTAAAATATAGCTAAAGGAAGACTGACCCCAGAAGCCTGGAGGACCAGAGTTGGAGGCATTTTGTCATTAGTCATTTGGGAAACAAACAGATTGTGTAAGGAGAGTTCTTCCTTTTACCACCGGCTGCTTCTTCAGAATGAGTTGTATCTCTCTAGCCTGAGTCTAGGTTAGCGTCTCATTCTTGTCTTTTGTTATCTAGCCTTCTCTTCTTCAGTTACTCATGCTGACGACTTCTTGAGTACCATGTTGCCCTTTTACTTGGAGGAATTTTCAGAGTTTCACGTGTAGTTATTAAGCCATTATGACTTTTCATTATAAATTAAAAACACTTAATGCTGCTCTTTCTCTCTGGCTCTTTGCCATTACATTCAGATACTTCCTAAGCAATGATGAAACTTGTCTGGCTGTTAAGTTCAGGATACCTCACTTCTAAAAAAGAAGACAAAATAACACAAAGAAATGACAAACTCAGAATTCTTTCCCTCTAGAATAAGAGGGGTTATTTATCTCTACCTTCTGATTTCAGAAGGAACTGTAAAAATAAAACCTCATCTTGAGGCATTCAAGTCATTTTCCTTAAGTATGGGTATACATTTACATTGTGTGGCTATTTCCTGTAACAAATACTCTTAAACAAAACAAAAAAAAGAAAGAAAGAAAAAAAAAGCTGTAGTAGCAAGAGCTCAAATTATTGAGCAAACAGATTTTCAAGTGGGGAAATGCTTTACCTCATTGCATCGAATTTCTCCTGTCCCCTTCTGAAAGAAGGAAAGATGAATATGAAATAGGTCTTGGGGAAAATTTTGCATTTAAGGTTGTGATATGTTTCCCAATTGTATTATTTTTGTGTACCACCTATCCTGAACTACATAACAGATCAGGGCTTCTTTGGAGCTTTTGTGTGAACACAGAAGTAGCCATGTGAGAAATAGGAAAATGATCAAGGCTGAGTATGGACAGTTGGAATAAAGTTGAATGTAAGGGGAAAATCAGAGATGAGGGAAAGCAAGGTAACACCAAGGCACACCACCCCAGTAGCTATCAAGTAGTATATAACTTTCATTATCCAAAATTCAGTAGGAAATACCTTTAAATAACAGCCTGCGCTGGAAGATATGTTTTGCTACCTAAAGTAAAACCACAGTTTTCCTCTTTTTGAGTCAATACTACATAAGATAAAAACTAATTTTACCACTGTCAATCTTTACTTAATGTGAGGTTACAACCAGAAAGCAAGCAAGGTGGAGGGGGGTTGTCTAGAAAGCCAACCTGGGGATTAAGGGAAAAAAACTGATTAAATAACTGGAGCAGCAGACAGTCTAATGTCATTGGTGTTGCAAACTGCCCTCTATACCATTGGAACTACCACATAGGGAAGAGACACCAAAATTGTCAACTTAAATAGACTTAGTAGGTGGGAGGAATTCAGTGAATCGGGTCTGAAATCTGTAGTCCTCACTGGCATTGACACATTCAGAACAACATGATGCTCATGATAAGGATTCTGTGTTGCAGGAAAAGGTTAAATCTTATTCTTTATGTTGGTTTGAACAGGAAAGAATATTATACTTGGTGAGTTTTGTTTTGAAACATATTTTAAAATTGTAAATTTATAAATTATAGTTATATATGTTTATGGGATACAAAGTGATATCATAAATTATGAATTATGAAACAGAATAATTAAATCAAGCTAATTAACATATCCATCACCTCAAATACTTACTTTCTGTGGTGAGAAGATTTGAAATTTACTCTCTTAGGAATTTTGAAATGTACAATACATTATTATTTACTATATTCATCATACTGTGGAGTATATCTCAAAGAAAAAAAAAGCTGTCTTCTAATTGAGTCTTTGTTGTATTTGACAATCATCTTTCCACCCCACCCCAGTGGTCTCGGGTAACCACCATTATTCTCATTGCTTCTTTGGGTTTGATTGTTTTAGATTCCACGTGGAAGTGAGAACATGCAGGAATATCTGTCTTTCTGTGCTTGGCTTATTTCACTTAGCATAATGTTCTTTAGTTCCATTCAGGCTGTCACAAATGACAGAATTTCTTTCTTTTTTAAGGCTGAATAAGTGTTCCATTGGGTATATATCACATACTTTCTTTATCTATTCATGTGCTGATGGACACTTAGGTTGATTTTGTAACTTGGCTATTATGAATAGTGTTGCAGTGACCGTAGGAGAGGAGTGCCGACAACTCTTTGACATACTGATTTTAAATCTTATGGATAAATTCCCAGAAGTGGAATTTCTGGATCATATAGTAGTTCTATTTTTAGTATTTTGAGAAATGACAATACTGTTTTCTGTAATGGCTGTGCTAACCTACCATCTCATCAACAGTATACAAGGATTTCCTTTTCTCTGTATCCTTGCCAACACTTGTTTTTGTTTGTTTGTTTGTTTGTTTTGATAATGGCCACTCTGACAAGTGTGAGGTGCTATCTCATTGCATTTCCCTAATATTTAGTGATGTTGAGCATTTTTTTTTCATTTAACGGTGGCCCTTTGTATATATTCTTTTAAGAAATGCTTATTCAGGTCCCTTGACCATTTTTAATCAGCTTGTTTTCTTTCTACAGAGTTGTTTATATTTTTATTTTTCTTTCTCTTTTCTAATTGCTCTGCTGAGGACTTCCAGTACTACGTTGAAAGAAGTGACAAGAGTGAACATTCTAGTCTTGTTCATGATCTTAAAGGCAAAGCTTTCAACTTTACAGCATTAAGTATGTTGCTTTGTATGAGCTTCTTGTATATGGCCATTATTGTGTTGATGTACCTTCCTTTTACACCTAATTTGTTGAGAATTTTTATCATGAATGTATGTTGAATTTTGTTGAATTCCTTTTCTGCATCTATTGAGATGATAATCTATTTTTTTCCTTTGTTCTGTTAAGGTGGTGTATCACATTTATTAATTTGTTTATGTTGAGCCATACTTGAATCCCAGGGATATATCCCACTTGAGCATGGTGAATGATCCCTTTAAGGTGCCATTGAATTCCATATACTAGTACTTGTTGCAGAATTGTGCATATATGTTCATGAGGAATACTGGGACTATAACTTTCTTTTCCTGTAATGTTGTTACCTGGCTGATATGGTTTGGCTGTGTCCCCACCCAAATCTCATCTTGAATTCCCACATGTTGTGGGAGGAACCCAGTGGGAGCTGTTCTCATGATAGTGAATAAGTCTCATGAGATCTTATGGTCTTAAAAGGGGAGTTTCCCTGCCTAAGCTTTCTTCTCTTGTCTGCCACCATGTGAGACATGGCTTTCACCTTCTGCCATGATTGTGAGGCCTCCCTAGCCACGTAGAACTGTAAGTCCATTAAACCTTTTTTTCTGTATAAATTACCCAGTCTCAGGTGTGTCTTTATCAGCAGTGTGAAAACAGACTAATACACTGACTTTGGTATCAAGGCAATGCTCACCTTCTCAAAGGAATTTGGAAGTGTTTCCTTGTATTAGTCCATTCTAACATTGCTATAAAGAAGTACCTGAGACTAGGCAGTTTATAAAGAAAAGATGTTTAATTGGCTTATGGTTCCACAGGCTATACATGAAGCATAATGCTAGCATCTGTGTGTTTTCTGGGGAGGCCTCAGAAAACTTATGATTATGGTAGAAGGTGAAAAAGGAGCAGGCACATCACATGACTGGAGTAGGAGCAAGGGGGCAGGGGGAGGTGCCACACACTTTTAAACAACCAGACCTCGTGAGAACTCACTCACTGTCATGAGGGCAGGATGAAGGGGATGGTGTTAAACCATTCATGAGAAATTCACCCCCATGATTGAATTACCTCAAACCAGGCCCCCACCTCCAACACTGGGGATTACATTTCAATGTGAGGTTTGTGTGGAGACACATTCAGACTATATCATTTCGTCCTGACCCCTCCCAAATTTTATGTCCTTTTCACATTTTAATATACAATCATGCTTTCCTAATAATCCTCAAAGTCTTAACTTTTCCAGCATTAACTGAAAGGTCCAAAGTCTCTTCTGAGACAAAACTAGTTCCTTTTGCCTATGAGCCTGCAACATCAAAAACAAGTTAGTTACTTCTAAGATACCATAGGGTTATAGGTCTTGGATAAATATTTCCATTCCAAAAGGGAGAAATAGGCCAAGAGAAAGATGCTATGGGCCCCATGCAAATCCAAAACCCAGCAGGGCAGTCGTTACATCTTAAAGCTCCAAAATAGTCTTTGACTCCATGTCTCACATCCATGGCAGCCTGATGCAAGGCGTGGGCTCCCAAGGCCTTGAGCAGCTCTGCCCCTGTGGTTTTGCAGTATTCAACCCCTGCAGCTGCTCTCACAGGTTGTAGCTGAATGCTTCCAGCTTTCCCAGGCACAGGGTACAAGCTGCTGGTGGATCTACCATTCTGGAGTCTGGAGGGTGGTGGCTCTCTTCTCACAGCTCCACTAGGCAGGGCCCCAGTAGGGACTCTGTGTGAGAACTCCAACCCCACATTCCCTCTCCACACTGCCCTAGTAGAGCTTCTGCATGAGGACTCTGCCCCGCAGCAGGCTTCTGCCTGGGCACTCATGCTTTTCCATACATCCTCTGAAATCTAGGTGGAGGCTTCCAAGCCTCAACTCTTGCACTCAACACACCTGAAGGCTTAACAACACATGGAAACTACCGAGGCTTATGGCTTCCCCTCTCTTAAGCAGCAGCTCGAGCTGTACCTGGGCCCATTTGAGCCATGGCTGGAAGTGGAGTTACTGGGAAACAGGGAGCTGTGTCCCAAGGCTGCACAAGATAGTGGGGCCCTGGGCCTGGCCCTTGAAACCATTCAGTCCTTCTAAACCTTAGGGCCTATGATGGGATGAGCTGCCCTGAAGGTCTCTGAAATGCTTTCTAGGCCTTTTCTTCATTGTCTTGGCTATTAGCATTTGGCTCCCATTTGCTTATACAAATTTCTGCAGGCTGCTTGAATTTCTCCCCTGGAAATGGAATTTTCTTTTCTACCACATGGCTAGGCTGCAAATTTTTCAAACTTTTATGCTCTGCTTCCCCTTTAAATATAAGTTCCAACTTTAGATCACTTCTTTGCCCAAGCATATGAGCATACATTGTTAGAAGCAGCCAGGTCACAGCTTCAACTGCTTTGCTGCTTAGTAATTTCTTCTGCCAGATACCCTAAACCAAACCTCTCAAGTTCAAACTTCTAGGGCAGGGGCACATTGTAGGCAAGTTATTTTGCTATGGCATAAAAAAAGTGACCTTTGCTCTAGTTCCCAGTAAGTTCCTCATTTCTATCTGAGACCTGCTCAGCCTGGACTTCATTGTCCATATCACTATTAGTATTATGGTCACAACCATTTAACCAGTCTCTAAGATGTTCCAAACTGTAACTAATCAACCTGTCTTTTGAGCCCTCCAAACTTTTCCAAACTCTACCTGTTACCCAAATCCAAAGCTGCTTCTACATTGATATGGTTTTACTGTGTCCCCACCCAAATCTCATCTTGAATTATAGCTCCCATAATTCCCACATGTTGTGGGAGGAACCTGGTGGGAGATAATTGAATCATGGGGGCAGTTTCCTCCATAATGTTCTTGTGGTAATGAATAAGTCTCACGAGATCTGAAGGTTTTATAAGGGGAAACCTCTTTTGCTTGACTGTCATTTCTCTCTTGCCTGCTGCCATGTAAGATGTGCCTTTCACCTTCTGTCATAATTGTGAGGCCTCCCCAGCCACATCAAACTCTGAGTCCATTAAACCTCATTTTCTTTATAAGTTACCCAGTCTCAGATATAGCTTTATCAGCAGCATGAAAATTAACTAATACAGTAAATTAATACTGGGAGTGGGGCGCTGCTCTAAAGATAGCCAAAAATGTGGAAGTGACTGTGGAACTGGGTAACAAGCAGAGAATGGAACAGTTTGGAGGGCTGAGAAGAAGACAGGAAAATGTTGGAAAGTTTGGAACTTCCTAGACACTTGTTGATTGGGTTTGACCAAAATGCTGATAATGATATGGACAATGAAATCCAGGCTGAGGTGGTCTCAGATGGAGAAGAGGAACTTGTTGGGAACTTGAGCAAAGGTGACTCTTGCTGTGCTTTAGCAAAGAGACTGGCAGCATTTTTCCCCAGCCCTAGAGATCTGTGGAACTTTGAACTTGAGAGAGGTGATTTAAGGTATCTGGCAGAAGAAATTTCTAAGGGTCAAAGCATTAAAGAGGAAGCAGAGCATAAAAGTTTGGAAAATTTGCAGCCTGACAATATGATAGAAAAGAAAAACCTGTTTCCTGAGGAGAAATTCAAGCTGGCTGCAGAAATTTGCATAAGTAACAAGGAGCCAAATGTGAATCACCAAGACAATGGGGGAAATGTCTCCAGGGCATGTCAGAGACTTTTTGCAGCAGCCCCTTCCATCACAGGCCTGGAGGCCTAGGAGGAAAAAATGGTTTTGTGGACTAGGCCCAGGGCCCCCCTGCTGTTACAGCCTAGGAACTTGGAACCCTGTATCCCAGCCACTTCAGCCATGGCTAAAAGGGGCCAAGGTACGGCTCAGGACATTTCTTCAGAGGGTGCAAGTTCCAAGCCATGGCAACTTCCATGTGGTGTTGAGCCTGTGGGTGCACAGAAGTCAAGAATTGAGATTTGGGAACTTCTGCCTAGATTTCAGAGGATGTATGGAAATGCCTGAATGTCTTGCTACAGGGGCCTGCATGGAGAACTTCTGCTAGGGCAGTGTGGAAGGAAAATGTGGGGTTTAAGCTTCCACAGAGTCCCCACTGGGGCACTGCCTAGGGGAGCTGTGAGGAGAAAGCCACCATCCTCCAGAACCCAGAATGGTAGATCCACTGACAGCTTGCACCATGCACCTGGAAAAGCTGCAGATACTTAATGCCAGCCCATGAAAGCAACAGGGAGGGAGGCCATACCCTGCAAAGCCTCAGGGGCAGAGCTGTCCAAGACCATGGGAACCCACCTCTTGCATAAATGTGACCTAGATGTGAGACATGGAGTCAAAGGAGATCATTTTGAAACTTTAAGAGTTGACTGCCCTGTTGGATTTTGGACTTGCATGGGACCTTTAGCTGCTCTATTTTGGCCAACTTCTCCCATTTGGAATAGGTGCATTAATCCAATGCTTGTACCTTTATTGTATCTAGAAAGTAACTAACTTGCCTTTGATTTTAAGGTCTGATAGGTGGAAGGGACTTGCCTTATGTCAGATGAGAATTTGGACTTTGAACTTCTGAGTTAATTCTGAAATGAGTTAAGACTTTGGGGGACTGTTGGGAAGCCATGATTGGTTTTGAAATGTGAAGACATGAGATTTATGAGGGGCCAAGGGTGGAATGATATGGTTTGGTTGTGTCCCCATCCAAATCTCATCTTTAATTGTAGCTCCCATAATTCCCACATGTTATGGGAGGGAACTGGTGAGAGATAAGTGAACCATGTGGGTGGTTTTCCCCATACTATTCTCATGGTAGTGAATAAGTCTCAGGAGATCTGAAGGTTTTATGAGGGGAAGCCTCTTTCGACTGACTCTCATTTCTCTCTTGCCTGCTGCCATGTAAGATGTCCCTGGCTCTTTCACCATGATTGTGAGGCCTCCCCAGCCATGTGGAACTGGGAGTCAATTAAACTTCTTTCCTTTATAAATTGCCCAGTTTCAGATGTGTCTTTATTAGCAATGTGAGAACAGACTAATACACACATTTTCAGATATCTTTGTATGAATTTCCCACTCCTGGTACCAATTTTCTGTATTAGTTCCTTTTCTCATTGTTGTAAAGCAATATCTGAGACTAGTTACTTTTTAAAGAAAAGTGGTTTAATTGGCTCATATTTCTGCAGGCTGTACAGGCAGCATGATGCTGGCATCCTTCAGCTTCTGGGAGGCCTCAGGAAACTTATGACAGAAGGGAAAGGGGAAGCAGGCACATCACATGGCTGGAACAGGAGCTAGAGAGTGGAGAGGGAGATGCTACACACTTTTAAACAACCAGATCTTGTGAGGACTCATTGTCATGAGAGCTACACCAAGGAAATGGTGCCAAACCATTCATGAGAAATCCATCTCCATGATCCAGTTGCCTCAAACTAGGTCCCACCTCCAACACTCAGGATTTTCCTCCCCTCCCCTTCCCTCCCCTCCCCTCTCCTCTCCTTTCTTTTCCTTTCTGACAGAGTTTCACTCCTTTTGCCCAGGCTGGAGTGCAATGGCACAATCTCTGCTCACTGCATCCTCTGCCTCCCGGGTTCAAGTGATTCTCCTGTCTCAGCCTCCTGAGTAGCTGGGATTACAGGCAAATGCTACCACACCCAACTAATGTTTTGTATTTAGTAGAGATGGGGTTTCACCATGTTGGTCGGCCTGGTCTCAAACTTCTGACCTCAGGTGATCCATCCACCTTGGCCTCCCAAAGTGTTGGGATTATAGGCGTGAGCCACAGTGCCCGGCCTGGGACTTTTCAGTATCAGATTTGGGCAGGTACACACATCCAAAATATATCATCCCTCTTCAATTTTTTGGAAGAGTTTGAGAAAGATTGGTATTCGTTCTTTAGATATTTGGTAGAATATATCAGTGAAGCTGTCAAGTCCTGAGCTTTTATTTAGGAATATGTTGTTTAATTTTCACGTATTTGTGAATTTTTAGAAATATCTTCTATTGATTTCTAATTTCATATCATTATGGAAGGAAAAACTTTATATGATTTTAATCTTCTTAAATTTGTTAAGGCTTGTTTTATGGCCTGAAACATGATCTATTGAGAATGTTCTGTTTGTGTTTGAGAAGAATGTGTTTTCTGCTGCTGTAAATGTCTGTTAGGTTAATTTTGTCTGGAGTCCAACATTTCTTTGTTGATTTTTCTGTCTCATTTATTTGTCTAGTGCTGTTAGGAGAGTACTGATGAACCCCACTGTTATTGTACTGCTATGTATCTATTTTTTTAGCTCTAGTAAAATTTGTTTTATGAATCTGGATGCTCAGGTGTTGGGTGCATATATATTTAGGATTGTTATATTCTTTTGGTGAATTGATCTTCTTGTCATTAAATAATGACTTTCTTTAATTTATTTAACTGTTTTCTGTAAATTTTTTTGCTTAAAGTCTGTTTTATCTGACTTAAGTATAGATACTCCTGCTTGCTTTGGGTTTGTTTGCATGGAATATCTTTTTCCATCCCTTTACTTTCAGGCTATATGTGTTTTTACCAGTAAGGTGAGTCTCTTGTAAATAGCATATAGTTGCATCATATTTTATTTCAATCCATTTCACCAATCTATGCATTTTAAGTGAGGATTTACGCCATTTACGTTCAGGGTTAATTTTTATATGTGATGTTTTGTTTCTCTCATATTGCTGGTTGTTATCTATTTGTTTTATTGTTTTTTAAATTTTTCTGTCTTTGTGGTTTGGTGGAGTTCAGCTGTATTGCCATTTGACTCCTTTCTCTTCCTACTCTGTGTAATTTTTAAATAACATCTGTGAATTTTATACTTTTATTTGTTTTTATGATGGCAAATATGAAACTTTTGTCTTCATGTTTATGGCTTCTTTGAGCATTTGTCAGTCTGAGTGAGTGTTGATGAATTTTCTGTGTTTGCTTGCCCGGGAAATATTTCTCCTTCATTTATCAAGTTTATTTTAGCTGGATATAACATATTTGGCTGGCAGTTATTTTTTTCTTCTTTTAGCACTTTGAAAATAGCATCCAATTCTCTTCAGGCTTATAAGGTTTCTGCTGAGAATTCTGCTGTTAGCCTGATTGGGTTTTATTTATAGGTGAGTATATATCTTTCTCTTCCTGATTTTAGAATTTTTTTCTTTCATGTTTACCTTAGACAGTCTGATGATTATATGGCATGGTGGTCTGTTTTGCAATTTATTTTCTCAGTAATTGTTGAGACTGCTGTATCTGGATGTCTAAATCTCCTGCTAGACTAGGGAAGTTTTCATCAATTATTTCCTTAAATAGGTTTTCTACATTTTTTGCTTTTTTTGTTTCCCTCAGGAATACCCATGATTCATAAGTTTGGTTGCTTTATGTAGTCCCATACTTTTCAAAGACTTTGTTCATTCTTTTTAATTCTTTTTTTAAAATTTTTTTCTGCCTGCCTTTATTAAAAAGACTTGTCTTCAAGTTCTGAGATTTTTTATTCTTTTTCTAGTTTGTTATTAAAACTTTCAAATGTATTTTGTAATTCCTTTAATGAATTTTTTTATTTTCAGAAGTTCTTTTTGGTTTATTACATTTCTTCTTCATATTCTGAATTGATTTTCTGATTTCTTTGTATTGGCTTTCAGATTTCTCTGGCATCTCAGTGATCTTTTTAAAATTAATATTTTAGGTTATTTATCTGGCATTTTTAGGATTTTTTTTTTGGTTAGCATCTATTGCTAGAAAATTACTGTGTTTCTTTGGAGGTGTCATAATATCTTTCTTTCTTATACTTCCAGTGTTATTATGCTGATTTATTCACAGCTGGAGAAACAGTCACTTTTTTTTGTTTGTGTTTTGAATTTACTTTTTTTAGGGTGGGACATTTTTTTTTCCTGAAGATGTGACTATGATGTATATTGAATTGGGCTATTTGGCTCTGCTTCTAGATATGTTCGGTGGCAAAGACTCTGTATGATTTTTCTTTGTTATGAATAGCCTTAGTAGGATGACTTTTTCAAATTTCAGTTTTAACAGTAGTGTACCAGGCAGATGAGCAGGCTCATAACCTCTTGAGTAGCTGAGGTGACAAGATGCAATGGTTGTAGTAGAAGTTACAAAAAGCTTATCTATCTTGTTCCCATGTGGTATGCACTTGTGTCAGCAAATGTTGTAATGAATGGGCTGTGTGGGTCAACCTCCAGGCCAATAGGTGGCATTTGCAGATAGGAAATGGCTGTGGTGGTAGCAGTGGAATTTATACTTGACCTTTGTGATCCCGGAGAAGTGCTTTGGTGTCCCAGGTGATGATTTGGGCCATGGAACATTCTCTGGTCTGGGTCCCATGTTCTGTCTCAGTGGAGGGTCAGGGAGGGAGCCTGGACTCCAGTAGAGCTGGACTGGGCAAGCCTGCACTTGGGCTTCCCAATGGCAGGCACAAGCACTGGCCCTGATGGGGATCTAGGAGAAGTTCAAGGCTCCTTTATAGATGCCTGGGCAAAGAGTGAAACAACTGTTGCTGCACCAAGGTCTCAGCATGGGAAACTAGGGGTGGCCCAGGGTACTTAACATAGGTGAGCAAGAGTGGGACATGCTTCCTTCTCATGCTCCAGACCCAGCAGGGTACATTCCCCTGTCTCAACTGTCTCTGACAGTTGAGGCAGTTAAGTCACACATAGTTTGCTTTCAGTTTGTATAGCTGCCTTGGGCTATAAAGCTTGTCACCCGGGTCCAAATCATACTTCTCAGGAAAACAGCCTTCTTCTCTGGTTCCTTGAAGGATGGGACCAAAGTCCAGCACCCATGAGTAGACACCATACTACATTTGTTTTTTCCATTCTGGCTGTGGGATCCCCTCCCAATCTGCCTGCTAATTTAAGACCCAGATCTCCATTCCCTGGCCTGAGATTCTCTAATGCCAATGGCTACTGCTGCTGCTAGTTTTCAGGATCCTGTGCAGCTTTCTCTTAGCTAGGATTGAGAATGGCATCCTCACATCAATGCTTTGGTCTGGGAAAATGTGTGAGATACTGGCTAGTGCCATTCCTCCTGACAGTCTCCCAGCCACTCCTCAAGTTAGATCCAGAGATGGGGAGGGTCAAGGTGCTCTCTTGTTGCCTGAATTACATGGTTCCCCTGTAAGAAGTGGATTGCAGAGAGACACTCATTCCCCTTCTCCTGTGTTGGGGATTCACTCACAGTTTTCAGCCAGATTGCAACATGTAGTCTGCCTGCCTACCTTCTCTTTTCTGGTATCTGAAATTTTCTTTTGCTATGCTGTTGAACTTCTCTGTTCCTTTTTAGATAAAAGGTCACAGTTTCAATCTCTACACACTATTTGGCTCCTTTGAAATGAGTGAGGCACAGTGTAAAAGCCTCGAGCCTGCCAGCTTGGGGGCTAGGATTTCTATTTTTTAATTATTCTTAGATCATTGCCAAACTTTTCATTTTGTGTATTGTTTTCCAAATTCGATTTCATTTTTATCCATGTATTCTTAGATTAATAGTTCATTAACTTCAAGAGGATTATTCTGAATTCTTTGTCATTTCATGGATCTCCATTTCTTTAGGGTTCTTTATTGAAGCTTTGCTAGTTTAGTTTCTTTTGGAGGTGTCATATTTCCTGAGTCTTTTTAATCCTCGTGTCCTTGTGTTGGTTTCTGTGCATTTGAGGACACAGCCAACTTTTCTGGATTTTACAGATGTTCTTTGACAGGAATAGGTCTTCACTATTTAGTCTAGTTTGTGATTCAGGATGGGCCAACTGGTAATGACCCAGGGCGGGTAGAGTTGCTTTTGGGTTCTCTAGATGGCTTCAGTAGTTGTCTCCCTCCCTGGTTGGGGTCCTGCAATAGTGTAGAAGCCTAGCTGTCTGGGGATTCAAGCCAGGCAGAACTTCTCACCACCCACCACCTATGGGAGCAACTGGCTTGGGTTTTTGGGTGGTCAGTGCTGTTAGCTGGTACCTTTGATTGGACACTACTGCTGGCAGGTACACAGAGCTACCACCAAGATCTGCATGCTGGTTGCTATGGGCTTTGCTTCCTTGCTTTATTTCTACCTGATTCCAGGTAGTCTTGCTGTGCTGTTTTCCCCTGCATTCTCCATTAGGTGAGAGCAGTTTCCTGGGAAGCGTCTGGGAATGCTAGGGAATCTGCATGTGGGCCTTTGGTTCTTTTTTTCACCCTGTCAAGACCATGGTCCCTGGGGAATCCTCTCTGTGTGATGTTGCACTGACTTGGAGATGGGAGAAGGAAGACATGGTCAGATTGAGACCATTTCTTTTACCTTTCCTATGTGGTTTTTATTCTGTTCCGTGGATCATCCATGCAGCTGACTCCGGCTTATTTCCCATTTTTGGAGTTTTCACCAAGGTGTTATTGTCTGTGGATAGTTGCTAATGGAACTTTCTTTGGGGGATAATAAAGCCTGATACTTCCTAATTTACCATCTTGCTCTTCAGTTAGATTTTCAACAAAATAATTACAGTGTTTTGTAATGAGATTTAAGGGGATAATATTTCATTACATTAATTACTCACTTGTAAGACCCACCCATCATCTTCCAAGGGATGCCACCTTGGATAACTAAGATGTCATGATATAAACATTTGTACTGGTTACCAAATAGCATGCTTCTTCCTCATCTACTTTGCTACTTGCATCAGTCCATTTTTTTTTTTGAGATGGAGTCTCACTCTGTTGCCTAGTGCAGTGGCGCAATCTCGACTCAGTGCAAACTCCGCCTCCCAGATTCAAGCGATTCTCTGACTTCAGCCTCCTGAGTAGCTGGGATTACAGGCACATACCACTACACCCAGCTAATGTTTTTTGTACTTTTTAGCAGAGATGGGGTTTCACCATGTTGGCCAGACTGGTCTTGAACTCCTGACTTCAGGTGTTCCACCTGCCTCGGCATCCCACAGTGCTGGAATTATAGGCATGAGCCACCATGCCTGGCCACATTGGTCCTTTTAACCATATATTAACATCATGATTACAAGTTAACTTGAAATTGTATTTAATTGATTGCTTAAGAAAGTATGTTGGTATGGGCTTCTCGCTCTTCCCTTCTTTTTATCATGCACTTAACCTACCTTCCTCTCCCTACACATTTCTCAAATACTTGCCAAATATAATTGGTTCAGAGCATTTCCCATATCCTCTCTCTAGCCTCTTGTTCTGTTTCTCATCTCCTATATTGAAACTAACACCTAGACAATTTGTTTCTTGGTCATTGTCGTTGTTCATCTCCAATTTTAGTTCTTCAAATAGTATCACACTTCTCTTTCAACACATATGCTAGTAATTCAGCTGCTCAACATGTTTACTCCTCACATTTATACAAAACACATTTAAACTCTCATTTCTTAATTTCATCTGCATTTCATCCCTTTTAGAAGAAACATCACATAAGAGAAGCATCTGCCAGAAGTCCAGTTCTTGTTTCAATTTTATTGTGCTTATCTTTTTTTATTTTTTGACTCATTTAGTAATGAGAGAAACTATGCCATGGTTTTGTAGTACTTGGCCCTTACTGGATCAAAGTACTAGTATTTCCTTAATAAATTTATACTTACATAAATATATTTGGGAATGATATTTCTATATGTGTGTATGTGTAACATATATGGATGCACATGATCACATATGTAACATGTTATTTACAACAAGGTTAGAAGATTGGCAGCTTAACTGTCCATTTTTATCAGTTAGGAAACAAACCTGCCTCTTCTTTAGCACAAAACCATCACAGAAACAGTTCTATTTTCCAGTTGCTTTCAGGTGACTGATCTGTTGTTCCTTTGCTTCCAGTTCTACTAGTGAAATTTCTAACCTGGGCCAGAAGTACTCCAAAGCAAGAATGTACTCTTTCAGTACTTCCAGACCATAGCCCAGGTCATAGATTGTATCTTAAGAACTCAGTTTTTCTTTAATTGTATCCATGTAATAGTTTCTTGGTCTCTACTTCAGCCTCAGAACTCACTCAAATATATGTATGTAACTGCTAATGAGGCAGCTGAGAATATATGAATAAGAAGACAGGCTATTTCGGTAGCTAAGTAACAGACCTAGAAGTGATAAATTATAATCTGCATTACTTCGTGACCCTCAGCCACGTTTTGCCTTATTTCTGGTAAGTAGGGGCTAGTGGGCTGATAGTGGGTATTGATGTGGCTTGTAATAGGCAAAAAGTATGTATTCCTTAAATCACAGAATCCCACTTTCCTCTCATCTTCAGTGAAACTTTCTCACTCTGAATTTTATATTCAAGGCTCCCTCTGTGCTTGAAGGATATCTAAAAATTACTTTGTATGTCATTTTCCCCTTCAGATGTAGGGTTATCCATTGATTCTATCTGCTGTTGTTAACCTCATTGTATGTGACCCCAGGAAATTCATTAACCTATCTACTTCGTTGGGCTACTATATCTCCTGCACAATAAAATACACAAATCAATTTGTTTTCTATGTACTTGCCTCTATTATTTTGTCTTTCAAAGTACCTCAGTTTTTCTTTTCCCAGCTCTGCAATTATTTAGAGTCCTGGGAAACTTATTGGCTTGAAGCTTTAAAAACATTGCTCTCATATGATGTGAAGCAGCTCTCTTGCTTGCTAAGCATACCCTATTAGTAATAATGTTTGTTCAAAGTATCTATTATACTTATACCCTCATCTTGATTTACAAGAAAAGTTCCTTTTGGAAATACAGACATCTGATAAATAAGAATTTTAACTGAGGGAATTTTAACTTTTCAAACCAGTGGTGTGAATAGACCTAGGGAGCACCACCTTAGCTAGATGACTATAAAAGCCCTCCAATAGTGCATGCTAAACTTTGCTCCTCAAGAAATTCTTGTACGTTAGCTCACAGTGCCTGTCAAACATGGTAATGTGTCTGTAAATTTCACTTGACAGAAAACATGTCAGTTAATCAGCAACCTCAGAAAGTAAACAAAGCTGAGCTACAGACAACAATTGCAAAGCAACCAGAGTGTTTCATGAAGGTGGTGTTAGGGAAAACATACCAAGACTAGAAGGGAAACCAAACATCATTCTCCTTAGTCTGGGTGAGAAACTGCCCTCCAGTCACTTCCAGATGCTGTGACATTAGATACTTGTCTGTCTCCCTTGGCTGGTAATTAGTGGCTAAGACCATGCACCTTGCTATATCACATTTTGTCCTCAAAATCCTTTCCATCTCTCTCTCACTTTTTATTTTAAAAAGTTTAAGAAAACAAGACAAGAACACACGTTCTAAAAATATAGAGAGTAATATAACAAACACACAAGTACTCACCTGGAATTTACAAATGTGGTTGTTGTCATGTTTTGCATTGGACTTAAAGTACAGATAAAATTGACATTCTTTGGTTCATTTTCCCAGTCCCGTTCTTCTCCCTACTTCCCTCACAGAGGGGGCCATTTTATGAATGGAATGTAATTTTTCCAGTCAGTTTTAAAAACTTAGTTACAAATGTATCCCTAAAACATCATATAATTTCATTTGCTACACATGAAAGTTTATATAAATGATAGTCACAAATACTTCACCTAACCAATTATTTCCTCACTTTGTATCCTTATACCTTTGTAGCCCTGTCTTTCATGTTTTTGTTGTATATTCTTTCTCCTCATTTATACTTGTATGTAGCTTACTCCATACCCTTCATTTTTCTCTTCCTCATCTTTGTCCTATTTTCTTATTTCTAAGACAAACACATTTGACCATCTAAACTGTACAGAGGAAAGATCAGCATAGCAGGCTTCACATATCCTCTTGCTGATAGACCTACCCAGAGATACCTTGGGTGATGTAACCTCTACTACCACAAAAAAGAGCACTAAGTCTGCACCAAGAAAGGAGGATAAGTAGATGAGCCTGGAGTCTCTAACCTCTTGACTAACTCAAGTGTCTAATAATCCTCTTAAGGAAAATGAGCCATTTGTGGGTGATAGGTAAGCCTTATGAAAATTGACCAGTGAATGGTGATGTGGCTGCTTAATCTTTCCTGGGGATGGAAGCAGCTGGAGTTTCTTACAACTTGTACAGGGTTATAAGGGATTTGACACTTAAAAAGATCTCAGGACCCACTTTTCCCCAGTAGTTTTGTGCTAGGTCTCAGAATTTCCCTAGAGAATAATAAAATTATCCTCTTTACTATATATCTACATATGTATTTATCTATATATCTATCTGTATTCTGTTGTAATTTTCCAGTCCACTTACTGAACTCCCACTCAGATCAAAGAGCCATATGTATTGACTCACTGCATTCTTGACCAACTCTTGCCCTCTCCTAGGTTACCTGATGCTTTTGCCATGTGGCTTCTTCATCACATGCTCCTACCTTCAGTCAAATACTGACATTCACTAGTATTTCCTTGCATACTTTTGATTTACCTCTTGTAAGATTACCAGAGAGCATACTCATACTCAGACAAATTTTCAACCTCTTCTAAGAAGTCTGAGTTACATGGGTTCCTGTTCTTCATTTTCAAAGAACTTCTTTTATAGTTCACAGAGATACTGAAGAGAAGAGAAAGGGAGGTGAGGTTTCCTTTTCTCTGACTGATTTAATAATCTTTGAACACTTCTTTTCTATGTAGTTAATCCTTGATTGAGTCACAATTTAGTTTTATCTGCCCAAATGGATTTAACCTCTTTGAGAGGAAGGCTCACAGCTATGTCCATTCAATGTATTTATATGAAGCAGGCCTTATAAGAGGAATTCTCTATGCTCCAGGCATACTGAACATTTTTTAGTTTCTTGATTATAGTATGGATGTGCCATAGGCCCTTGAACATATGGTTATCTTTGCCTGGAACATCCCCAATAAACCAATTTCCCACTTTGTTGTAATCTACCCCAAATGTTCATCTAAATAACTCACCTTCATATATTACGTCTCTAAAAAATATTCCTTGATATCCCAAGTCATAGAAAAATGCTTATGACACTACTTTTATTGCTGGCTTCATTGTATGCCTGCCCAGCTAGATTGCAGGCTCTGTGTCTGTCATGTTCAAGTCGTATCTTGAATGACTAGCATAGAATCTATAACCTAGTAAAATGTCTTCCAATGAGCTAGCATTCTTAGATTTGAGAGAGCTTTTCTTTTACTCTGTCCAGTAACTCTGTAGAAGCATTTAGCTTTTTCCACCTCCCCCTTTTACTTTGCCTAGACAGTTTTCTCCAGCATATTTCAGAGGAAGGAAAGTTGGTTTGCTCTTAACCTGTTTATGAGTTAATGCAGTGCACATTTGCCCAATCCAAGAGGTTGGAGAGAAACATCTTTACACATTATTAGCTACTCAGGTTTTCCTGTAAAACCTTGAGTTAAATGAGTTGAAACTTACCCTGCTAAAAAATCTTCACCTTAAGGAATATGAAGCACATTAAGAAGAATCCATATTTCAATGCAAGAAAATGCAAACAATGCTGCTAATACATTCACCAACACCTATGTATATTGTATAGCATTTTTATTGTAGCATATCACGTGGGTTACCAACACTAATTAACTGGTAGAAACAAGGTCCCACATGTGGAGATAAAAAGATGGCATCCGTAGCTCCTTTTGTCACTGTGAATTAAGAAACCTGTAGATTCTTATCCATCAACGAGAAAGTATACATTAAAGTTTTGTTAGTTTAAAGCATTTCTTTATACAGGAACCTTTCTTGTTCTTTGGTAGTTAGTCATTCCTATATAGACTATCCATTCCTATATAGGCTACTTGAAAGCTTTGAAAACCTTCACCACTGAACGTATAGCCAAGCCAAAAAACCCCTAAGAAGAGCCAAGTGATTATTTTTTTCCATCCTTTCCTGTATGGTCCTTTGTATGTGAAAAGAAGAAAACATCTGATAACCGATGTCAAACAAGTAAAGAAAAATGACCCTGAACTATACCAAATGGCAGTACTGACTTATCACATTTACACTTACATTCTAGCTTATATTAATATAAATTCAAGCTGCTAAAAATTACTCCCACAGGCAGCTGTGTAAAGTCACTTTTTTCACACATTTTCTTGTAATAACTAAAATTTTACAGTAATTTCTTTAAATAGTTGTAGAAGAGAAAATGGAAATTATGTGCCAGTTTCCAAACTAGGAAAGTTTACCTCAGTGCATTGCCTATTCCCAGAGAGCTGAGGTTCCCCTTGCTTGGGAGAGCCCACTCCTTTCCAACAGTAAGTCTTGGCTCCTACTAGGCTAGTCTCCTTATTATCTGGAATAGGTACCATGGTGTACAGCACAAAAGTAGGTTCTGGATTCAGACAATCCTTGCTCAGATATTCTCTCTGCTGCCTTCCAGCTGTGTTACTTTTACAATTTATTTATCACTTATACTTTACCTCCTAGACTTGCTGTGAGGATCAAGTTAAATAATGTAAGTCAGGTGTCCAGTGCTCTGCCTAAAATGTAATGTTACTTAATAAACGTTAGTTCTTTCTTCTCTCCTCTGTGCCTTTGCACATTCTTTTTCCCTCTTAGTAAATTCTCTTCTACCATCTTACCTCAAGGAATAGCACTTACAACACTTACTCTAAGAATTTCCTTATAATTCCAGTCCATACTGAGTGGCCTCCTGCTTTAAAATACTCTTTTTTTTTTTTTTTTTTTTAGACAGAGTCTCTCTGTTGTCAAGCCGGAGTGCAGTGGCGCAATCTCGGCTCACTGCAATCTCCGCCTTCCGGGTTCAAGCGATTCTCCTGCCTCAGCCTCCCAAGTAGCTGGGACTAAAATACTCTTATTTTTAACCGGGTCATCAGTTTATTATTACATCTTTCTAGTTATATGTGTAAGTATATCCAGAGTATTCAATAAAAATGTCTGTAGACTTGTGGCATTTCATTTTTATGTAACTATCATAGTAACTAACATATGTTTAGGTAATGGGGGTTCCATAAACTATGTAATTGATTATTATTAGGTAGGACCCACCTAGGTTTATAAAATATCTAAAATGCTAACCTCTAATGAGAGACACACAGTGGCTTACCCTCTTTGGGATTTCTAGCTTCTAGTTAATTAAATAGTCATCCTTTGATTCTGGGAGATGACCTACTTTTTAAGATAAACTATCATCTGATTGGGTTTTTTAAAACATTTTTTTCCTGCAAAAATTAAAACAAAAGCATAACTTCTCATTCTGTTATTGTGTTTGAATTTCAGTGACTTTGGATAGCTAAGCACTTACTGTGCAGTCACTGATTCTATCCTTAAGTATTTAGATGGTAGATTTAATTTTGGTGGCTTGAGAAACAAGATTCAGGAAAATTAATCAGTAACATTCCTGCCAAATGTGGTAAAATATACTGGGGAAGAACAACATAGAAACAGTTCTTTGAAAGCTTCTAACATAAATTGAAAATATGAGATTTGGACTTAAGTGTAGCCAAGTCTATTTATAAATACATGGAGAAGTTCACAGCAAAAACAGTTGCAGATTATGAGGTAAACTGAAACACTCTAGTACTTACAAACAATTTATTTATTTCAGTTAGCTAGTATTGCTCCAAGGAAATTATTATCTATCGTTAAATATATAAATTCTTCGTATGCCTCAGTCTAGAACACCATATATGGCATTGCCCATTCCAGAAGCACTCAAGTGCAGAATAATACTCCCTAGTCTAGTTTTGTGATTTTTCCCTTTAGGGCTAAAGTGACCATACATTACAGTTTGTTAAGGATAGTTTGGCTTATATCTGTTGTCCTGACATTAATTGTACTCCCTGCCACTATCACAAGTAATTTAGTTTGGACAGTAATTTTTTCTTTATTATTTTTGAGTTCTAATTGCAGTCCTATTTGTTTTCTGTGTTCATAGCATCTTATATCCTGGGGCCCATCTTCCTAGATTGTTGTTTGGAGCCTGGCATAAGGTGGCTTCTCCACTCATGTTGGGCACATGGTTCACGTTTGTTGAATTGTGTCCACCAAAAAGATACATTGAGATCTCAATCCCTGGAAACTGTGAATGTGATGCAGATGTAACCAGATTACGATAAGGTCATACTGGCTGAGGGTGGGCCCGAAATTCAGTGACTAGTGTCCTTATAAGGTGAGAAAGATTTGAAGACACAGAAGAGACATAGGGAGGAAGACCATGTGAAGACAGGGGCAGAGATTAGAGTCATGTTATCACAAGGCAAGAAATGCAAGGGATTGCCAGCAACCACCAAAAGATAGAAGAAGCAAGTAAAGATAGAAGAAGCAAGGAAGCAAGCTTCCTCTAAAGCCATTAGAGGAAGCATGGAAACATCCTGATTTCAGACTTCTAGTTTCCAAAACAGTATGAGATCAATTTGTTTTAAGCCACTCAGTTTGTGGTAATTTTTTGTATAGCAGCTGTAAGAAACTACTAACAATTTCCTCAATTCATCTGTTCTGAAAGATGACTGAGGGGTTCTTTGGGGCTCAAAAAGTGAAATTTGTGTAATCCATGTAACCCACATCTTAATTCAGAGCATCCTAAATGTATTCAGTTGACCCTTGAACAACAACAGGTTTGAACTGTGTGAATCCACTTACACATGGAATTTTTTCAGTACATATATTAAAAAATTTTTTGGAGACTTTTGACAGTTTGAAAAAACTCACAGGCATAGCCTCATAGCCTAGAAACATTGAAAAATGAAGAAAAAATTAGACATGTTGTGAGTGTTTAAAATATATGTAGATACTAGCTTATTTTATCATTTACTTCCCTAACATATACATGAATCTACAATAAAAAGTTAAAATTTATCAAAACATATACAAATAAACGCAGGCCATATATGGCACTATTCATAGTTGAGAGAAATGTAAACAAATGTAAAGATGCAATATTAAATCACAGATGTATAAAATTAACTGCAGTACATACCATGCTACTGTAATAATATCATAGGCACTTCCTATTGCTAGCACATTGAGCCCAGGTGTTGGGAGTATACTCTTAAAAACATCATGTGATGATAATCATTTCCACATGCGCAGATTGTCTCTCCAGTAAATTGCATACTGCAGTAAAAAGTGATCTATCATGGTTCTTCAATATTCTTCATCGTGCTTAGTGCAATACCATAAAACTTGAGTAACACTATGGGACCCATATGAAGTGCCATAAGTGATGCTAGAAGTGCTCCCAAGAAGCAAAGTCATGATATTAGCAGAAAAAGTTGAATTGCTTGATGTGTGCCTTAGATTAAGGTCCGCAGCTATGGTTGCCTGCCATTTCAGACAGATGATTCATCTTGTAAACAGATGATATAATGTTATGGTCTTGATAAATACAGTACAGTACTACAAATTTATTTTCACTCCTTTATGATTTTAAATAACATTTTCTTTGCTCTAGCTTACTTTATTGTAAGAATACAATATACAATACATGTAACATACAAAATGCATTAATCAACTTTATGTTATCGATAAGGCTTCTGGTCAGTAGTAGGTTATTGGTAGTTAAGTATTTGGGGAGTCAAAAGTTATATCCAGGTTTTTGACTGCGTGAGGGTCAGCATCCCTAACCCCTGTGTTGTTCAGAGGTTACCTGTACTTCAAATGAGGTAAAAAGCCATCCTCAGTTTTGGCTACCTTAGAAAGCCTCCTGGATTGAATTTGGCATTTGACAGAGTGTATATTTTAAGTCAGATCATCCCACTCTTTAAATCATCCCACTCATCTCACTCTTTAAATTTGGTGAAAATCTTTATAGCTAGCTTGCCTTACATGTTATGGCAACCACAGGTAAACTGACAAATTGTCAGAAACTCTTTAAAAATCTTCATATGGGTAGATGAACATGGATGTATCTATCTATAATATTTTAAACAGTGTCTATTGTCAGTTTTGAAAATTTTATATCTATCTGTATAGATGTAGCTGTAGATATAGATATCTATATATACATATGTCTATATCTCTACACATGGTATTTTTCAAACAGTTTCTGTTCATCTATCAGTTTGACATAGTTGTCTGTCATTTGTTAGATCAATTCAAGATATAGATATATAGGTATAAGGGTCATTTGTATATCTAGGAAATGCTATGAATAAAAATCAACTTTTAGAATACTCCATAATTGGACCTCATTATATTGTATAAAGTTATTTCATCTTTTCTAAAGTTGACTCTATTCTTGGGAATAAATGCTCTACTAAGCTGTTGTTAGAATTTAGGGAAAACATTAAGCCTGATGGCACTAATGGCAGAGAGATCAGGAAGGGGTGGATGCTGCTGAAACCCTGCTGGGGAATGAGGAATGAGCCATCTGGACCTCCAGCTGAGACCAGTTGGATCCAGACAAGAGCTGCCAGTAGGAATGGTCTGGATTTGGATGAAGATCATCCCTGTCTAAGGAAGTGGGCTGGCCCTGGAGCAGAGAGAAAACGATGGTCTTCTCAGGAGAAGGGACATGGAAGACAAGTTCTCTCAGAGGTCACAGTAGGGACAGACATGTTATAATTATTAACACTGACTGAAGGCCAGCAAGATGATGAGTGCTGTTGAGAACATAGAAGCATTCTTGATTTCTGTCCAGAGAATCACTCTGGTAGAGAGGTCAACTCTTTGGTGTTTTTTCCCCTTAAATTTTTGCTCAGCAGAGGAGTCATTTTACTGGAATCAAAGAGATCAACCATTTTCTTTTATTAACCCCATCCCAGATGTTATGTTTCCATTGAAAACAGCTTTCCTCTGAGATTGCTGTCATTGTCTCTTTACTCTCATTACTTTGTCATCAACTCTAGAATAAAAGAAACATATCCTGGATAGCCTAAATCTTTTCTAGTAGTATCTTCTGGATACTGTAGTTTAGTATAATTATTATAGCTTCACTTTCATAAATTAATAATTTACTAGGTTTGTATAGGTACCTCATTAATTCTAGAGCAGGCAAAAAGGAACTCTGAAAAAACTCTCATTCTTTATTATAGTCCATTCATTGGATTTGCTATGATTTGAACGTGCCCCCAAAATGTATGCATTAGAAATGTAATCCCCAATGAAACAGTGTTGGTAGGTGGTTGGGTCACGAGGGCTCTACCTTCAAGAATAGGTTAATGCCATTCATGAGGGCATTAGGGCTTCGAGGCTGCCAGTCTGATTTCTTGCTCTCTTGATGTGTGATGACTTCTGCCATATTATGACACAGTAAGAAGGCCCGCACTACATGTGGTACCTTGATCTTTGACGTCCCAGCCTCCAGAATGGGAAGAAATAAACCTCTGTTCTTTATAAATTACCCAGTCTGTGACATTCTGTTCGAGTAGCCCCAAATGGACTAAGACAGAGTTTAACATGTGCTCTTGGTGAAATTTTGTCTAAATATGTGATACTTTTAGGGTCACAAGTTTTTTTTTCCAGCTTTATTAAAGTCTAATTGACAGATAAAAATTATGTATATTCAAGGGGTACAATGTGATAATTTGATATATGTGTACATTGTGAAATGTTTACCACAATCAAATTAACACATCCACTATCATACTTAGTGTGTATCATTTATATGTGTATATCATTTATATGTGTATATATCTGTGTATATGTGTGTGCATGTGTGTATGTGTGTGTTGGGGGGGTGAGGACACTTAAGATCTCCTCTCTTAACAAATTTCAAGTAAACAATGCAGTATTAACTATAGTCACCATGCTGTATGTTAGATTTCCAGAACTTATCTTTTAACTGAAAGTTTGTACCCTTTGACAATTGTCTCCCCATTTTCCTCATGCCCCAGCCCCTGCTAACCACTGTTTTATGCTTCTATAAATTATAATTTTTTTAGATTACTCATATAAGTGAGATCATACAGTATTTGTCTTTCTGTGTCTGGCTTATTTCACTTAGCATAATGTCCTCCAGACTCATCTATGTTATTGCAAATGGTGTGATTTTCTTGTTTTTTATAGATGAATAATATTCCTTTGCATACACAATATGTAATATATACAGTATATATAAACACATTTTTCTCTATCCATTCATTCATCAATGGACACTTAGGTTGTTTCCACATCTTTGCTGTTGTGAATAATGCTGCTGTGATCATGTGGGTGAGATATCTCTTCCAGATATTGATTTCCTTTGCATATATACCCAGAATTGGGACTTTCATATTGTATAGTTCCATTTTTAATTTTTTGAGGAACCTTCATAATGGCTCTACCAATTTATGTTCCCACCAAACAATAAACAAGGATTTTCTTTCCTCCACAACTTTGCCTACCCTTGTCATCTTCTGTCTTTTTTATAATAGCCATCCTAACAAGTGTGAGGTGATACCTCATTCTAGTTTTAATTAAATGTGTGATTTTTTTAGTCTAGTTTAGATAATGGTAATTGAAGGTGATTGCTATGTTTATTGACTTGATCTGTTCTCTTACAGAATGAGTCTGTGGTATTAGACACTTCACTGTGCATCAGTATCATGAAAAGCATATTAGCCATTGTCGCCATGAGCACAGGCAGAGGACCCAAAGAAAACATCTTGCCAAGGAATTTTTGTCATTTAACTATTCTAAACTATTTTATTAATTTTTATTGAATTAATTCGTTTTGGCACTATGTGGACAATAATTAAGCAGTGGTTTGTTATTATTTAAAATTTGCATCAGACTCATCTGGATAATTTGATATATTGTTTTTAAAATACTTGTGTTTAGGCAACCTCTGGAGCTTTGGGTGCATTCTTTTAGGGTAGACACTAGCTGTGTGTATTTTTGCAAAACCAGCTCAAGTGACTAGACGCATACTCCTAAATAAGAACCATTATTTGCAAGTACGTTCTGTTGTATGTTATATACTTAGCAACCCAAGGGTTTCAATAGTAACCTTGCTTTTGTCTCACTTCTTCCTCCCTCAAAATGCTAAGATTGTACTCTGTACCTGGTAACAAGTTGCTCAGTTTTCTCTGTGTATATATATGTAGGTCTGCGCACCCAAACCCCTCAAATTTTGTATTCCTGGTAGTCAAACATTTCCACAGCTATGAACACCAAAAACTTTTATTAATGTGAGTCTTTACCTTTCTACTACTGACAATAAGCAGGACAAATTAAGTTAGCCTTTATCTTTTTGTTTCCTCCTTTATCCTCTGCTGGATATGATGCTTGAATAGTGAAAGTGTCAAGAGGGAGATTGGCTGTAGCAAGATGAAGCAGGGTCCTCATCACTCAGGAAAAATTAGTCACTAGATAGGCATCTCTTGGGTAATGGAGAATAGACTGAGAAAGGCTGAGATAGATGCAGCAAAGTAAAAACTGAGGTGGCTAACACAGTCTGCCATAGCTGAAAACATAAAACCAAATAAAATACCAAAAAAGGATTAACAAAATAATAGAGGGTTAAATAGTACTGTAATAGACTATATTTCATTTGAGACTGCTTCCACTGGAACATATCAGAAACCTACATTGGAAATAAAGGCTATTAAGTTTCAGTCAACCCATGAAATTATTACTGCAAACATTCATTATTTTTTGAAGCTGTCTATTGACAGACCCTTGCCTGAAGAATTATATACCCAAGTCACAGTGGAACACAATCACTGAGTTTCAGATTATCAATTCATCATTGTGTTCAGAAGTCCTTGCTGTTGTTTCAAGTAATATTTAGGTAAAATGTATGTTTATTTTTGCTTTTTAAAACCCTTTTGGTGAGATGTATTATCTGATACACATTATAATGTTGAAAACCAAAATGTGTCAGATTATGCGCAGAAGCCAAAATTCGAATATCTTTGTATAACATTGAAATGTAGGATAGGGAATAAATAGAAAGGTCTGAGGATACAATTTTGAGCACGTATGCAGAGTGAACTACCTATTAAGTGAATAGATATTGTTTATTTGTCATTTATTCATTTAAACAAACATTTATTGAGCAGCTGCTTTGTTCCACATTCTGAGCTAGGCAATGGGAAAACAATGTTGAGTCAGTCATACTCCTTGTTCTTAAGGACAAGTAGATAGTAAGTCAAAAACTATAGGGTACAGTAAGTAAATTCAGCCTCAGAGTTGTACATAAGAAGCTATGGCAGCACAGAGGGGAGACATTTAAGTGGAACTTGGTACTTAAAGGAGCACTTGCCTGCCATTGAGGTGACACTTGAGCTGAGTTTTTAAGGGACATGTTATTTCATATTTTGGTTTGGTGTAGACAGATCAAAGGGGGAGAAAAAGTGAAAAAAGTTATTCTGATAGGATGCTAAATGAAAATTTAGATCCCCAATACCCTTTAAGTCTCTTACAAGGCCACAGGCCTGATAGAGCTGCTAATCTTGGAGATTGAGTACCCACCATGCCTTTGGATACTTGATCTTCTGGGCTGCAGGACTGAACAAAATCCATTTTGAAAGTTGTTGGTTATTTTTGTTTCTTAGGAGCCTATTTTTGAGGATGACAACTTCAAAAAATTATATTTTTATTATGATTTATCTTCAGAGAGACATTTATTTTATAGAATTACAAAATTCTGCAGTCATGCTCCACATCCTGACATTTTGTTCAACTGCAGACCGATTATAAGACAGTGGTTTCATAAGATAAAGTACTGTATTTTTACTGTACCTTTGCTAGTTTTAGCTATGTTTAGATACACAAATATCATTGTGTTACAGTTCCCTACAGTACTCAGTACAATAACATGCTGTGCAGTTTTGTAGCTTAGGAGCAATAGGTTATACCATATAGGCTAGGTGTGTAATGGGCTATAGCATCTAAGTTTGTGTTAAGTGCACCCTATGATGTTTGAACAAAGCTGAAATCACCTAACAATGCATTTCTCAGAATATAACCCTGTCATTACGTGACACATTACTGTGTTTTCTTTATTCATTTTGAGTTTATTGAGGTACCATATACTGCAATAGAAATCTGGGGAATGGATGATTCTTCTTTGAAACAAAGACACTATTGAAGTGATCTGATACATCAGTTCTGATTAGAACAAAGCAATCTTCAGTTCAAGTTGAGATATCCATTTACATAGGGCTTGTATTTACCAAAGCAAGACAAATACTTTTTACAGGTCAGTGTCCTTTGAGAATAGAATTTGGTACATTTTCAGCATAAACAATGTTAAGAACCTTTAGATTTCTATCTTACATTTACTGTGTCAATAGAAACCTAGTAAATTTCTGGATTTCTCTTGACTTGGCAGGGAAATATGGAAAACAATTTTGTTTGATATTTAATAGAGACGGTAAGGCATACAAACAACATACGTATTCTAGAAATAATAAAGTAATACTAAGGAACATACATTTAGAAAATTAGTCTCTGAAAAGGAAAAATTGGGTATTTGTTGAGTTATTATTTGTTAATATTTGATTATCATATATATAATGATTTTTAACATATAGTATATATTTGACTACAATAATCATATTATAACTAAATGTACATCTCGTGTATACTTAGTACATACTTGGTATAATCATAGCCTGAGAATAAATTGAGTCATGAGATAAAGTATTTTGAGAAGCCTGGAAATTAGGGCAAATTTGATGAAGTTTCCATGTAAGTTGAATTTATGGCAGCAGCTGAAGAGAAATTCATTTTTCTGGTATTTTTTAGTATAAATTTTGTATATGAAATGACTTCTTTCTCCCACCCCATTTTCTAAAATTTTATCAGTAGGTTAACGTGTGCCAATGATAGAATTTCAAGTGCTTTGAAGACTGTAAGAGCATGATGAATTTCAAGTACTTTGAAGACTATAAGAGCATGAGAGTAATCTATGGATTTGATTTCTTTAGGCTCTATTTTCCTATTCTTTTCTTTTCCCTCCTTCCTTTTCTTTCTTCAAGAAATATTTACATATTAAATATTAAAATATTCAATTTATTGTTCATCTGATTGTTAAAAACAACGCCAACCCCAACAATTTTAGCCATCTAGTGAGTATTGAGTATCTAACACATATGCCTTCAATATAGTGGAGTTTTCTTAAATCAAGATTGATCAGAGTGAGGAGGAGACATAGATGAACAATTGGGAGAGTGACTATGATTTATATTTTTCTAAGATATGAACTTTTTGTGTCTACATTTGCCACTTGAAATGTTTCCAGTCTCATCTTCTGTATCCACCCATGTGTTTGATGCTTCAACCTCATTAGATTTCAAATTTTGCAATGCACTTTTACTCCCCTGTTTCTTTATTCATGTTGATCTCTCTATCTCCGTCTATTGTATGTTTCTACATCTTGATGGATCAGTTCAAAGTTGTCTCCTTGGTATGATGGCATGGCATTCAACACAGAGAGGTCTGTACACAACTGTCTGTTGTAGTTCAGTTCAGCTATCTTGGGCAAGTTTTTAAATTCTTGTGAGCTTTAATTTTTAATCTGTAAATTGGGGATAAGACTATTAAGCAAGAAAAAATTATTTTCTTCTTCTTCCTCTTTAACCTCCTCCATTTGTGAAACTTTCTCTGATTACCCTAACCATTACCTCACAATCAAAATCCTTCCTATGTGTTACCATGCTTGCTTTGCCTCAATAATAAAAGTACTTTGTTTCATTTTAATTGGCTATTTACGTGTCCAGTTTTTTTTAATGAGCTCAAAGCCCCTTGAGGGCGAGGGTAATATTTTGCTCAGTGCATACCAGATATTCAATAAAAAACATGATGACATGTACTAAATCAGAGCTACATGATTTCTTTCCACTCTCCTCCCCATACCACCCAATTTTCTATATCCAGCATCATTTTTAGGCATTTTCTAGGATTGGAGCCTATAGAATCTATATGACACTAAAATGGTAACAGAGAGTAGCATAATCTCAGTTCAGTTTGTTTAGCTGGTAGTTTGTTTTGTTTTTGTTTGTATTTAGGATCAGAGAATTGAGTTATTCCTAGTGAATTTATTCTTACATGGTTGATACATTGTAGGATGCCTTGTTTTTTTTGTTTTTTTGTTGAGGTTTCTATCCTAAAATGGGTACATTGTTAGGGCAATGATGAGATAAGAAGTATGACTGGCCCTCTCCCTGTGTCTTACTTCATGGGGAACTCTAAACACTGCACAGCAGCAAAGCCTTCTTCCTCACTTTGACTTTGTAGTCCCCTGCCAGAAGTGCAGGGCAGGAGAAAAGTGTGTAGGTGATGAGTGTGTGTGTGTGTGTGTGTTTATTAGAGAGCAAGAGTGAGCTCGCATGCATGTGATTTAGGTGACGTTGGTGACAGAATATTTGGCATGCGTCTCCTACATCTGTTGGAAAGAGCCAGCCAAGCCACCTGTTGAATTTCAATTCCCCATTCCTCAGGGACGTGATACTTGCAGCAAAAGGTTTAAGATAGCAGAAATCCACAAGAATAAAGAAGTTATAGGTCACCCAGTTCTTTACCCCAGGGATCCCCATCAGACCATTCTCTACCATAAGCTCTTTAATACAATATAGAACATTTCTAAAACAGTGCACTCTTTGTCTAGCCTAGTTTAAAACATTCTAAGGGACAAAGGCTTCTAAAGGAGATGAATCCAGAAGTTCCATTGTTTACAAGGTCAAGAAGCGTGTCCCTGATTGTTAGCAGATAGAGTCACTTTTAAACCTTCCTGGTATTCTCCACCTCATTTCTTTTGTACATTGGGTCTTGAATGGAGAAGGCTGTGATTTGTCTTGGCCCATAAAATATCCTACAGGCTGTTTTAACACACTAAGGAAAGGTTTAATCTATTTCTATTAAAACCTGGAGAAGACCTTTCACCCCTTTCTAGGAGCTGCTAACTTTGGGATGTCTTCTCTCTTTCTCCCCCTCTCCGCCTTTCTGTCATCTGTTTTACCTTTCTTAGAGTCACTAGAGTCACTATAATCCTAAACCCCTGCCTCTATTAGCTTATTTTTGAAGTGTTAATCTTTCTTTTCCTTCCTTCCCTCCCTCCCCTCCCCTCCCCTACCCTACCCCTCCCTCCATCCCTCCCTCCCTTCCTTCCTTCCTTCCTTCTTGCTAAAAGTTTATAGTAAAAATATAAAAACTGCTTTCCCAGTTTTCTAATTCAGAGTCTTTATTTCTTTGTCACACAGAAATTCAGAGGTGAGCTGTTCCAACTCTTTCATTTTATAACAAAGGAAACTAATACCTAGAGTGAGAAAATAAGTTTGTAGGAAAAATCAGGAAGAATTAAAGTCTCCTTAAGCCTAGCCCAGGTAAGTACCAACAGTGGCCTTCCCAATATGCAGAGAGTATCTACCTCCAGCTCTGTCCACATCAAGGGAATAAGAATTCCCCCCAGGTGAGCACTGTGACTCACGACTGTAATCCCATCAATTTTGGGAGGCCAAGGCGGGCTGATCACTTGAGGCCAGGAGTTCAAGACCAGACTGGCCAACATGGTGAAATCCCATCTCTACAAAAAATACAAAAATTAGCCAGGCCATGGTGGCACACACCTGTAATCCCAGCTACTTGGGAGGCTGAGGCAGAAGAATTGCTTGAACCCGGGAGGCAGAGTGAGCTGAGATAGTGCCATTGCGCTCTAGCATGGGCAACAAAGCAGACTCCGTATCCAAAAAAAAAAAAACAAAAAAAAAGAATTCCCAGCCTCTGTGAGCAGTTCCCATGGAGTCTCAAAGACAATGTGGCAGCAGCTGCAGGAGTGCTGAACAGTCCTGTACTGGCCTCAGCCTATCTGGCTGTATATCAGGCTGCCTGCTCTGGGATGTTTCCTTACCAGGCTATGGAGATTTTTCTGGCTCATTTTAAGAGTGAGGTCCTATCCCCTACTTAGCTGTAGTACATACTTAGCTAATGTTAAACAGCTGTACCAATTTTAGCCTTTATTAAAACAAAGAATTTGTATTTAGCTTTTATAACAAGCCCTCCTAGCTCCTTCCATAGTGCAAGCAAGTAGCTTATATTACTTGTGGCTATCCATCAGGCTCTGGAACTTCATTAAAATATCTAGGCTATTACTGATCAGCTCCTAGCTTTAGGGCCAATTACTTCATCTTTTTAGGACTCAGGTTTCTCATCTCTAAAATGAAGAGGATAGTAGTACCTTTCTCATAGAATTGACTTGAGGATCAAATAAGCTACTAAGTAAAAAATGTCTGTTCAGAGTACTCAATAAACATTAGCTATATTGTTATTATTTTCACTCATTGCACCCTGAGTAAAAATGGGGTCATTTTGGTAGTTTTACCATATTTCACTGCTGTCACTGGTCATTGCCAGACTCTAGCCCTCTAAACACCTTTAATCACCCTTCTCAGGTATTTCTGAGAAGGCAACAAGGGTGACTGCCATGTGCTCATGAACAAGACTGATCATAAGCTGTGTGATGTATTCTGGGCGCCGCCGGTGCATTTACACGGCATTGCGACCTCCTCTGGGTGCAGGTGTTGCTGACTGCTCACATTAGTCTCTCCCGCACTGCTGCCTCTTCTGCTGGGGACTAATTTTTCCATTTTGGGAGCTATCCTTTATTAGAGGTTCTTTCAAAGTAGTAGTAACTTGCACCCCAATGTTGTTTAATTTTTACTCACAGCCTTCTGTCTTCTTCGGACCCAGATATAAGTCCCTGGGGAGATGGCATGACAGAAACCATGTTGATTTTGTCAGCTGAGGCTTTGGGCCTGATTCCTTCTTTGCTTAGAAAGAATTATCTTCCAAGAGGTTCCAGACTGCCTCGGGCAGATAGACTAGCACCCAGATCTCTTGTCCACAGCATCTCCAAAGTATGTTTGAATCTCAGCTGTGAAACCCCTACTATGCCCTTTTAATGTGACATAGCAGAATTCATATCAATAATACTCATCTAAGCTAAAGAAGATGTTAACCCATTTAAGAGGAGGACTATAAGCCACAGTGTATGTGACCAGCAACCATCTGAGCCACTGTTAAAACTTCTTTTAGGCATTAAAACCTGCCACATGGGAAAGCTATGGGACTTAGCTTTTTGATTTTAACAGCAAAATCCTATATCTGTCTCAAAATGGCTGGCTGAAAACTCCAGTCTGCCTAAGTCCTGTCAGTATTTAAATTAATGATATTGGTTTTCATTTTTTGCTTCAACTTTCACCATCCCTTAGAGCTGTCACTTAGCAATGGGCTAGGTGTGGAAGATGCCAGGGATAACAAGGAAGTGATTTGTCAGCTTAAGGGATGTCACTGGTCATCAAATAGTCTTTTTTTCCGTGGTATGAGCTGCAAAATCCATTTGAGTCACAAAGTCAGATTGTGACACTTGGCACATCTGTAGACACTGAACATTTATGCCAATTACAGACTCTGTACATGGAGACGAACAGAACTCCACCATGAGGCCCTGAAAAGAGAGCTTTATGTTAAGTAACAACTAAAATAGGAGCTAAATTTGACCTGACTAGTTCCAATCTGCTGCCATCACTCTATTTCATTTAAGGTCATGGAAACAAATCTCATGAAGGGTTGGGTTTCCCAAAATAAGTTAAATGGAACTTTATGAGGCAGAAATAGTAATATTTATATACAGTATATTTATATACAATATAGAAGTTATACTCAATATTAAGAGTATAAATATATATGTATTAAGAAGAGTCAAAAATTAGCCAGGCATGGTGGTGGGCACCTGTAGTCCCAGCTACTTGGGAGGCTGAGGCAGAATGGTGTGAACCCGAGAGGCAGAGCTTGCAGTGAGCCGAGATCGAGCCACTGCACTCCAGCCTGGGCAACAGAGCCAGACTCCATCTCAAAAAATAAAAAAGAATTAACAACATGCATGATGTAGTTCCTATTCTCAAGTTTCTGCAGTCTAGTTCAAATAAAGATATATACGTGGAAAATAAACTGGTAATTCCATGAAATAATTTTGTGCTAAATAAGTGGAATAGACACCTTGCATTTACAATGGACTGTCTATTTTATTTGGCGTGGTCAGAGCATTTTCCTATAGGAAATATGATCTAAGTTGAACTTTGAAAGATGGGAGAGGAATGAGTTTAGGAGAACAGAGGTGGAAGGGGAGATAGAAATGCAGGTTGGGGCTCCATTGTGGGTTTTCTTGAATACTAGGCTAATGATTTAATACATTCTTGAATAGTCAAAAAGAGCTCCATTGAAACTGATATACATGGTGTTTGGTGAGTCAGTTTTGGGATTGTATGGTATGGATCAAGGAGGTAAGACTGAAGATAGGCAAGCTTAAGAAGAGCCTTGGTATATTGTGTGAGGTGATCATTAGTAGAATTTATGGTGGCTAATATTTAATCTAGAAAGAAAAGTCACCTCAAGAATGTGGGGTAATTAAATAAGTAAAAAGTCACAGGCCTTGGTGTGTATATAAATATGAAAGAAGAAGGAGAAAGATAAGTGACCTCAGTGTTTTAAGCTTGGATTGAATGAGAGCATAGTGGGACCAATAAGAGAAGTGGCAAAATAGGAGGGGAAAATGGTATTTGCTTGGATTATTGCTAATACTTCCAAAGTGTCCTTTTTTTTCTTTTTTGAAATAAGAAACAAACCTTTTTAAGTTGGCAAGTTAAACTTTAATTCCAATCAAATTGCCGCCTATGGAAAGCAATTAAAATTACATATGGGAGGGTGGGTTATACAATGTAAAATATATAGAAAGATAAAGTATTAAGTGTACTAACAACATCATTGACTGATCTTCACTTAGAATTTCTTAGAAATTATTCTCTGAAAATGTAATGTTTATATTGTACTGCATTCATTTTTCTCTAATAAATCAGTACTCTCCCTAGGGGATTGATTTTAAGAGATTAAGTAGCTAACGCCTTAAATGAACAGGGCTGCAGCTATTTATTATTTTCTTTACTAAGAGATTTTCATAATAGCATTTGAAATTTGAGATTGATAATACTAGCTGATTTCTTCTATATTGCCAAACTGATCTTGAATCAGATGGGACTGAGTTTGAATGCTTGCCTTTCACTTAATGATTGTGTGATCTTTTGTCAAAGCATGACATGGTGAAGATAAGAATAAGACATGATGAAGGTTAATATGTGTGAAGTGCTTGCTGCTGTGTCTGGCATACAGTAAGCTTGGAATAAATGTTAAATGATGTATTTTTGCATAGATTCACTAGCATTTATGAACCTCAGAACCAAATGGGGACATATCTCTTTAAATATTCAATTCAGCTTGACCTGGAGCAGCCATCTTAGCATTATAAGGATACCACTGTTCTAGCAGAGCTCAATAATCCAGAGGCTATCTCAGATTCCGTGGGTAATTGAGATTATAACCAAATTCCATCAAGAGGAAATCAGTTGATTGGTTGTCTGCAGTCTCTGGCTTCACTGGGTAGGTGTTGGCTGTTGAAAATGGTGCTGCTTTCTCACTGTGCCCTGCTGAGATTCCAAAGGTGTAGGTCTGAGTAGGGAGACGAAGCCTTCTGAGCAGTGGTCACCTCAGCCATGGTTACCCCTTGCCAGCAGACAGTGGACCCAATATCATGCAGCCACATACATACACACACTCTCAACACATATGTGCTCACACAGCTTACTTATTTATTTTCTTTTTGTGGCAAACCCACTGTGTCAAGGTGGTTGGTTCAGGAAAGTTTTCCATGGAAGAAAACCATGCCTAAGAAAACCCAGGCGTAATCTGCAGCCTGACTCTGTAGTCCAGAATCTATTCTTTGTGGTAAGTTTTTCAGGGGATTCTAAACTTCCAGCTAACCTCAGCCATATCATCCTCAGTCAGCTAAAGGTGTTTCAATAATCTGCAACATCAAAGGAAACAGGGGTGAGGTTTTCTATTACTTTCTTTCCAGAAATCATCTTAGAAATTTGTCCATCCCCCTCATAGCATTCTTAGAATTTCATATTCTAAGGGATTTAGAGTGGAGCAGCTTCAGTCGCAGGGGAAAAATTAAAAAGAAGCCTAATACACTTTTGCCCCAGAACAATGGATGCCTATTTGTCTTACATCCACTTAATTAAAAATGGTTCTTCCCACAGTGAAGTGATGTCTACACTGGTAAAACTCAAAGTATTTGGCAGTTTTTAAAATGCATAATTTCTCATTAGAAGACTTCAAGTTCTGCCTCAATAGCCATCCATCTACACTATTATTTTTATTCTTGTTTTCATTTCAAAATTGAGGAGTTTAAAAAGTCCCTTGAGAAGACAACCTGAGATAAAGTGGCAAATCTGATTCTTTTAAAATCCTGTACTCTAGTCAATTACCATTCTGACTTTGGTCTATCATACACAGGAAGATACTTTAGCCTCCTAATGAGGTTTCTCAAATGATATATTGAATTTTAGGTTCATGTCACATGACCACAGTTATCTTTTTTTTTTTTCAATTAAAAATTTCTTGGTAGTTTGTTCCTTTAAAAAAGTCTTTGGAAATTCTCACTTCTCATGGTTCACATGAAATCCAGATAACTTCTTGCGACCTGTGGCTTTAATAAAGGAAAAAAAAAACCGAGTTGTTACAGTATGATCACTGTGTTAGTTTGACATCCACTTCAAAGAAAATAGCTCTCTAAGCAAGGCTGTCCTTAAAGCTGCAGACAGACTTGTCAGTAACTTGGAGCTGGAAAAACTTGATTTCTAGAACAGTGATCAGACTGTCAGGACAATGCTGCTTCCATGAGAATCAAGACAAGCCCACCCGTCTGATTTTTTTCCAGACATAACTAAGAACACCAAAGGTGAGCCAACAAACCAAGTGAAAGACATCAAACAATTGCCTCACTATTTCCCTTGAGGGATTTTGTCCTAAAGACTAAGAAAACCTTCTTAAATTAGCTCTAATTAAATGCTTTGAATGTATGGTTCCACCATTCAGAAAATGGATTGCCTCCTTGTGTTTTTTCCATGTTACTAAGAGAGAGATTGGGATTCTTTAAAGGAAGATTAAAAGCACGGAAGGGACAAAAGGAAATGGGGTGAAAACAGAAAAAAAAACAAGTCCAAGTCTATTCTAGATACTCCATGGATAGATGGTGGCCATAGGTAATCATTCGGTATGTTTTGACAGAATTGGTTTATGCGATCACTCTAGTGGTGTGCTAGCCATATTGATTATGGGGTGATACATACTCATTAGTAGGATGACTAACAGTGTTTTCAAACCACGCTGGCTGACTGCATATACAGACAAGATCAAGTTATTCTGTGTAGACTATTCCTCAGGGAGTGTTGGGGGAAGTAAGGGTAGGGGGACTCAGCAGGCACTCTGCTGTTAAGTTATCCTGACAATAGGGTTATTTTAAAATGTATTGTGAAGTGTTTCTACACAGAGGAAATGTTTTGTGGAAGGAATTCATGATATTATACAAGTATGTTTCTTTAATTGGAAACCAGACACACTCTACTAAACATTTTATTGGAATATTTATTTCACACTTCACAAAGGATCCCGAGAGAAATGCTTTGTGATTAACTGTGATTGTCCATATATGAAAAATGAGGGCAGGATAAGAATAAATATGCAATTAATAGGGCAGGCCTCCGATTCTCTATTTGTTTTCTGACATTTCCAGCAGTATCTTCTCGCAAAGATGAAAATATTAAGCAGGGCATCTAACACCAAATCTTGTCAGATTGATCTTATTATCCTTTATTGTTGTTTTAATCTTTAATACAATTTGGCTGTAAATTGAAAGCTCTGTATACCATTATAATCTTGCAAGCTGATTCACTTGATTGAAGGGAAAAATGAGACACAAAACCCATGCTGCTTTTATGTTCTTAGACAACACTCCTTACCCACTTGCAGACTAGTAGCTTTTCTTTAGTTTTAATTTGAGGTTTTTTTTTTTTGTTTGTTTGTTTGGCTGGTTTGTTTCTTTTTAATGGATAGATCCTTTAAACTATGCCAGTATAGTCTCTGGATGAGCAGCATGGGCATCACCTGGACACTTGTTAGCAATGCAAATTTTCAGGTGAATTCTTGACCTATTGAGTCAGAAACTCTGTGCTGGGGGTCCAGTGATCTCTGTTTAACAAGCCCTCCAAAATGATTCTGAAGCCCACTAAAGTTTGAGAACCACTGTCAGACTCCTTCCTCTCATTGTTTTGCATCTGGAAGCACACCATGCGTAGAATACAGTTATAACTTAACGCAAAATGTAGTTCACTGCCTTTAACTAAACCTGATGGCTTTGTAGTTTTGTTAGCACAATGCTGCAAACAGCTGGGCTACATATACATCAACAAAGGACATAAGTGAGTTTCCTCCCACTTTCCCTTTTTTTTGGGAGGAAGCATGGTATTTAAAGGCAGACAAATCTAATTTCAAGTTCTGATGCATCTCAATAGGTGGGTGATTTAACCCCTCTAGCTCTTGTGTTCTTTACCTATAAACATATATTCTTTGAGGTGTTGTTCTGAGTATGGAATGAGATCAGGCCTAATACTAGCTCACAAAGTGAATTAGAAAAAAGTGCCCTCTCTGGGGGAGCCAATTAGGAAAAAGCATTCATTTGTTAGGGCTAACATTGCCCATGTCTCTTATCAGACTTGGCAAAGAGAACCCTAACTGGATTTCAGCCCTGACTTCTGCCTGCTCATCTGGACAGTTTTGTCCAAGGCAAGATTGTATGCAGAGTTCTTGATTGAAATAATGTATGTAAAGCAGTTGGCATATAGCAGTTGCTTTTCATACAGTATATTACATACATAACACATATTCCACATAAATATTTTTTCTTAGATGTATCAATTATAGTCCAGGGAGAGTAACATATGTAATCACTTGGTTATCAGTAAAGATGCTTAGATTACCTCCTATAGTAAGATTAAAAATAGTTATTTTAGGGGAGGAGCCATGATGGCCGCATAGGAACAGCTCCCGTCTACAGCTCCCAGCATGAGCGACGCAGAAGGTGATTTCTGGATTTCCATCTGAGGTACCGGGTTCATCTCACTAGGGAGTGCCAGACAGTGGGCGCAGGTCAGTGGGTGCGTGCACCATGCACGAGCTGAAGCAGGGCGAGGCATTGCCTCCCTCCAGAAGTGCAAGGGGTCAGGGAGTTCCCTTTCCTAGTCAAAGGAAGGGATGACAGACGGCACCTGGAAAATAGGGTCACTCCCACCCAAATACTGAGCTTTTCCCATGGGCTTAAAAAACGGGGCACCAGGAGATTATATCCCGCACGTGGCTCGGAGGGTCCTACGCCCACGGAGTCTCACTGATTGCTAGCGCAGCAGTCTGAGCTCAAACTACAACGTGGCAGCGAGGCTGGGGGAGGGGTGCCCGCCATTGCCCAGGCTTGCTTAGGTAAACAAAGCAGCCGGGAAGCTCGAACTGGGTGGAGCCCACCACAGCTCAAGGAGGCCTGCCTGCCTCTGTAGGCTCCACCTCTGGGGGCAGGGCACAGGCAAACAAAAAGACAGCAGGAACCTCCGCAGACTTAAATGTCCCTGTCTGACAGCTTTGAAGAGAGCAGTGGTTCTCCCAGTACGCAACTGGAGATCTGAGAACGGGCAGACTGCCTCCTCAAGTGGGTCCCTGACCCCTGACCCCCGAGCAGCCTAACCCCCGAGGCACCCCCAGCAGGGGCAGACTGACACCTCACAGGGCCGGGTACTCCAACAGACCTGCCGCTGAGGGTCCTGTCTGTTAGAAGGAAAACTAACAAACAGAAAGGACATCCACACCAAAAACCCATCTGTACATCACCGTCATCAAAGAACAAAAGTAGATAAAACCACAAAGATGGAGAAAAAACAGAGCAGAAAAACTGGAAACTCTAAAAAGCAGAGCGCCTCTCCTCCTCCAAAGGAACGCAGTTCCTCACCAGCACTGGAACAAAGCTGGACGGAGAATGACTTTGACGAGCTGAGAGACGAAGGCTTCAGACGATCAAATTACTCTGAGCTACGGGAGGACATTCAAACCAAAGGCAAAGAAGTTGAAAACTTTGAAAAAAATTTAGAAGAATGTATAACTAGAATAACCAATACAGAGAAGTGCTTAAAGGAGCTGATGGAGCTGAAAACCAAGGCTCGAGAACTACATAAAGAATGAAGAAGCCTCAGGAGCCGATGCGATCAACTGGAAGAAAGGGTATCAGCGATGGAAGAGGAAATGAATGAAATGAAGCGAGAAGGGAAGTTTAGAGAAAAAAGAATAAAAAGAAATGAACAAAGCCTCCAAGAAATATGGGACTATGTGAAAAGACCAAATCTACATCTGATTGGTGTACCTGAAAGTGACGGGGAGAATGGAACCAAGTTGGAAAACACTCTGCAGGATATCATCCAGGAGAACTTCCCCAGTCTAGCAAGGCAGGCCAACATTCAGATTCAGGAAATACAGAGAATGCCACAAAGATACTCCTCGAGAAGAGCAACTCCAAGACACACAATTGTCAGATTCACCAAAGTTGAAATGAAGGAAAAATGTTAAGGGCAGCCAGAGAGAAGGGTCGGGTTACCCTCAAAGGGAAGCCAATCAGACTAACAGCAGATCTCTCGGCAGAAACTCTACAAGCCAGAAGAGAGTGTGGGCCAATATTCAACATTCTTAAAGAAAAGAATTTTCAACCCAGAATTTCATATCCAGCCAAACTAAGCTTCATAAGTGAAGGAGAAATAAAATACTTTACAGACAAGCAAATGCTGAGAGATTTTGTCACCACCAAGCCTGCCCTAAAAGAGCCCCTGAAGGAAGTGCTAAACATGGAAAGGCACAACTGGTACAAGCCACTGCAAAATCATGCCAAAATGTAAAGACCATCGAGACTAGGAAGAAACTGCATCAACTAACGAGCAAAATCACCAGCTAACATCATAATGACAGGATCAAATTCACACATAACAATACTAACTTTAAATGTAAATGGACTAAATGCTCCAATTAAAAGACACAGACTGGCATATTGGATAAAGAGTCAAGACCCATCAGTGTGCTGTATTCAGGAAATCCATCTCATGTGCAGAGACACACATAGGCTCAAAATAAAAGGATGGAGGAAGATCTACCAAGCAAATGGAAAACAAAAAAAGGCAGGGGTTGCAATCCTAGTCTCTGATAAAACAGACTGTAAACCAACAAAGATCAAAAGAGACAAAGAAGGCCATTACATAATGGTAAAGGGATCAATTCAACAAGAAGAGCTAACTGTCCTAAATATATATGCACCCAATACAGGAGCACCCAGATTCATAAAGCAAGTCCTGAGTGACCTACAAAGAGACTTAGACTCCCACACATTAATAATGGGAGACTTTAACACCCCACTGTCAACATTAGACAGATCAACGAGACAGAAAGTCAACAAGGATACCCAGGAATTGAACTCAGCTCTGCACCAAGTGGACCTAATAGACATCTACAGAACTCTCCACCCCAAATCAACAGAATATACATTTTTTTCAGCACCACACCACACCTCTTCCAAAATTGACCACGTACTTGGAAGTAAAGCTCTCCTCAGCAAATGTAAAAGAACAGAAATTATAACAAACTATCTCTCAGACCACAGTGCAATCAAACTAGAACTCAGGATTAAGAATCTCACTCAAAACCGCCCAACTACATGGAAACTGAACAACCTGCTCCTGAATGACTACTGGGTACATATCGAAATGAAGGCAGAAATAAAGATGTTCTTTGAAACCAACGAGAACAAAGACACAACATACCAGAATCTCTGGGACGCATTCAAAGCAGTGTGTAGAGGGAAATTTATAGCACTAAATGCCCACAAGAGAAAGCAGGAAAGATCCAAAATTGACAACCTAACATCACAATTAAAAGAACTAGAAAAGCAAGAGCAAACACATTCAAAAGCTAGCAGAAGGCAAGAAATAACTAAAATCAGAGCAGAACTGAAGGAAATAGAGACACAAAAAACCCTTCAAAAAATTAATGAATCCAGGAGCTAGTTTTTTGAAAGGATCAACAAAACTGATAAACCACTAGCAAGACTAATAAAGAAAAAAAGAGAGAAGAATGAAATAGATGCAGTAAAAAATGATAAAGAGGATATCACCACCGATCCCACAGAAATACAAACTACCATCAGAGAATACTACAAACACCTCTACACAAACAAACTAGAAAATCTAGAAGAAATGGATAAATTCCTCAACACATACACTCTCCCAAGACTAAACCAGGAAGAAGTTGAATCTCTAAACAGACCAATAACAGGCTCTGAAATTGTGGCAATAATCAATAGCTTACCAACCAAAAAGAGTCCAGGACCAGATGGATTCACAGTCGAATTCTACCAGAGGTACAAGGAGGAACCGGTACCATTCCTTCTGAAACTATTCCAATCAATAGAAAAAGAGGGAATCCTCTGTAACTCATTTTATGAGGCCAGCATCATCCTGATACCAAAGATGGGCAGAAACACAACCAAAAAAGAGAATTTTAGACCAATATCCTTGATGAACATTGATACAAAAATTCTCAATAAAATACTGGCAAACCGAATCCAGCAGCACATCAAAAAGCTTATCCACCATGATCAAGTGGGCTTCATCCCTGGGATGCAAGGATGGTTCAATATACGCAAATCAATAAATGTAATCCAGCATATAAACAGAACCAAAGACAAAAACCACATGATTATCTCAATAGATGCAGAAGAGGCCTTTGGCAAAATTCAACAACACTTCATGCTAAAAACTCTCAATAAATTAGGTGTTGATGGGACGTATTTCAAAATAATAAGAGCTATCTATGACAAACCCACAGCCAATATCATACTGAATGGGCAAAAACTGGAAGCATACCCTTTGAAAACTGGCACAAGACAGGGATGCCCTCTCTCACCACTCCTATTCAACATAGTGTTGGAAGTTCTGGCCAGGGCAATTAGGCAGGAGAAGGAAATAAAGGGTATTCAATTAGGAAAAGAGGAAGTCAAATTTTCCCTGTTTGCAGACGACATGATTGTATATCTAGAAAACCCCATTGTCTCAGCCCAAAATCTCCTTAAGCTCATAAGCAACTTCAGCAAAGTCTCAGGATACAAAATCAATGTACAAAAATCACAAGCATTCTTATACACCAACAACACACAAACAGAGAGCCAAATCATGAGTGAACTCCCATTCACAATTGCTTCAAAGAGAATAAAATACCTAGGAATCCAACTTACAAGGGATGTGAAGGACCTCTTCAAGGAGAACTACAGACCACTTCTCAAGGAAATAAAAGAGGATACAAACAAATGGAAGAACATTCCATGCTCATGGGTAGGAAGAATCAATATTGTGAAAATGGCCATACTGCCCAAGGTAATTTACAGATTCAATGCCATCCCCATCAAGCTACCAATGACTTTCTTCACAGAATTGGAAAAAACTACTTTAAAGTTCATATGGAACTGAAAAAGAGCCCGCATTGCCAAGTCAATCCTAAGCCAAAAGAACAAAGCTGGAGGCATCACACTACCTGACTTCAAACTATACTACAAGGCTACAGTAACCAAAACAGCATGGTACTGGTACCAAAACAGAGATATAGATCAATGGAATAGAACAGAGCCCTCAGAAATAACGCCGCATATCTACAACTATCTGATCTTTCACAAACCTGAGAAAAACAAGCATTGGGGAAAGGATTCCCTATTTAATAAATGGTGCTGGGAAAACTGGCTAGCCATATGTAGAAAGCTGAAACTGGATCCCTTCCTTACACCTTATACAAAAATCAATTCAAGATGGATTAAAGACTTAAACGTTAGACCTAAAACCATAAAAACCTTAGAAGAAAACCTAGGCATTACCATTCAGGACATAGGCATGGGCAAGGACTTCATGTCTAAAACACCAAAAGCAATGGCAATAAAAGCCAAAATTGACAAATGGGATCTAATTAAACTAAAGAGCTTCTGCACAGCAAAAGAAACTACCATCAGAGTGAACAGGCAACCTACAAAATGGGAGAAAATTTTCACAACCTACTCATCTGACAAAGGGCTAATATCCAGAATCTACAATGAACTCAAACAAATTTACAAGAAAAAAACAACCCCATCAAAAAGTCGGCAAAGGACACGAACAGACACTTCTCAAAAGAAGACATTTATGCAGCCAAAAAACACATGAAAAAATGCTCACCATCACTGGCCATCAGAGAAATGCAAATCAAAACCACAATGAGATACCATCTCACACCAGTTAGAATGGCAATCATTAAAAAGTCAGGAAACAACAGGTGCTGGAGAGGATGTGGAGAAATAGGAACACTTTTACACTGTTGGTGGGACTGTAAACTAGTTCAACCATTGTGGAAGTCAGTGTGGCGATTCCTCAGGGATCTAGAACTAGAAATACCATTTGACCCAGCCATCCCATTACTGGGTATATAACCATAGGACTATAAATCATGCTGCTATAAAGACACATGTACACATATGTTTATTGTGGCATTATTCACAATAGCAAAGACTTGGAACCAACCCAAATGTCCAACAATGATAGACTGGATTAAGAAAATGTGGCACATATACAGCATGGAATACTATGCAGCCATAAAAAAGGATGAGTTCATGTCCTTTGTAGGGACATGGATGAGATTGGACATCATCATTCTCAGTAAACTATCACAAGAACAAAAAACCAAACAACGCATATTCTCACTTATAGGTGGGAATTGAACAATGAGAACACATGGACACAGGAAGGGGAACATCACACTCTGGGGACTGTTGTGGGGTGGGGGGAGGGGGGAGGGATAGCACTGGGAGATATACCTAATGCTAGATGACGAGTTACTGGGTGCAGCACACCAGCATGGCACATGTATACATATGTAACTAACTTGCACATTGTGCACATGTACCCTAAAACTTAAAGTATAACAATAATAGATAAAAATTTTAAAAAATAGTTATTTTATTCCTCAATTCTCTGACTCATGGATCAAATGAAGAATTTAATTGAAAACATTTAATTTTATCCTTCATGCAGTGTAGATATGGTCTCTACCTGGATCTTTAAAAAATAGAGAGATCTGAAAGAAAACTGCTTGCACTTTTGCTACCCAGGTACTACCCATGATGACTAGCTAATTAAATAATTTAAATGGGAAACTGGTATTTCAAAATAATAAGACTTAGATACATATGAAATAAGGAGAGTAAGTTCTCTGACATGATATTTTCTAGGTGCTAAAGCCTAATTTCAAATCCTTTCTTGAGGGCAGGGGTCAATAGGGAGAAAAGCCTGTATTTCTGCAAAAGAGGATAACAGAGATCCAAGAATGGGACAAGTGAAGCTTTCTGCTTCATCACAAGATTACTGAGGATTAATTCCTCTTAGAGTTTTGTATTTAAGAACTTGAGTGTTGTTATCCTAGGAAAGACACATAACCCACTGTAACATTTAGTTGTCTTAGATTTTGGTATTCACTTTAGCACGACTCATTATCAGTTCCCTGGTATGAGGAGCTGGGATCCTGCCTAACACTTATCATTACATATTAAATCAGCACAATAAAAATGACAGAACAAAGCATTGGCTTTAAAGGCAACAAATTCTTTTAAGGCTACACTAAATCCTTGTCTATCTATATAGTATTAAGTTATAGTACTGCTACTGTAATTAAATGCTATATGAGGAAATGTAACAAGATACTATGTGGCCAAAGTAAAATGCTAACCTAAATAGCATCGTTAAAACATAACACATGAAATAAAATTGGAAATCACTTTTAGAACACTGCTCATGTTACAAGATGTCAGAATCATGCATAATGCAAGAGTGGAACTGCTTACAGAGTTTACACAAGAGAATTTAAACTTGCTTCCATGGACATGAGGAACTGCTCTTTGAAGCATGGGGTCTGATGAGATTCTGCCTGGCTCTAACGATATTCCAAGGGAATGTTCTCGTTCTATCTGATGCATATTTATTTATAGGGTGCTGAATGAAGGAGCATTCATACTACATGGCAGATTGCACCTTCACCATATTTTTCATTAATCATCTGTTCTTCAGCATCTTCACCATTGCTTTATTATTGATCTGTTTTTTGAACCCCCTTTGTGAATAAACCTACAATCACAAAATTACCCATAGATCAATGTCAGCAAACGCATTCCTGCAAACACAACCTTTAACTCCTTTTCTCCCTGAACCTTCATTCCATTTCATCTCTTGGGCAAAGGCCTGAAAAAACAGATGATCCTCGTATTATTCCCTGAAGGGCAACAAATCCAGACCTTGCTAGGTTTACAAGGCTGAACATAAAGCCCATCTCAATGACAATACTTTTTCTCTACTGCTCAGATTTTAAGTCAAAAGGTCCTTCTTGCTCACTGTAACATTCCTGTATGCTCTGTGTTAAAGACTATTGATCACATGTTGGTCTTTGTTGCCACATGCAGAGAAATCACCATCTCTGAATACATGAACCAAACACAAACATATTTATCCACACACTAACCTCTCTAATTTGGACATAATTAGAAAAAGGGCTATTTAATTAGTGAAAACTCTTAAATTATAGATGACTGATTACTTTTGAGTACATAAAGTAATAGCAGGAAATGACTAACAAAGTGTTGCCAAGTACAGGACCTGCCAGGCCTGTTTTAATGAATAGCTAAAGATCACTGAAATTAGCACATTAATTGTATGCATGTAAATTGCTTCTGCTAAGTGCATTAAAATGTTATTCTCTTTGTAATCATGTTGAAATTATTTATTTGGTTAGTACACCCTTTTCATAATTATTCATGAAAGACAGAAAAGTGAACTTCAACATAGTTCCTGCCTGAATCCGAATACTATCATTTACAAACCTCCACATTTTACTGTGCATGCAAAGGACTCATGACTTATATTTTAAAAATTCAACATGCACATTTAATAAAGACTTTTTTCAAGTTTCCCATTTCCTTTCTTAGTGTCTTCCTTTCAGTGTCTTGTAGAGGGTAATATCTCAGACTCCATTCCAGGTCAAACTCCCTCACTGTGAATCCCTCTCTATCATTTAATAGCTATGTGACTTTGGGCACATTGCTAAATAACTCTGAACCTCAATTTTCTCATCTGCCCTGCAGGATTGTTGTAAGGATTAAATGAAATGATGTTTTGAAAAATATTCTTAAACTTCCATGATGATAAAATTCACCTGAGGCACTTGTTAAACCCAACTTTCCCAGGCTCCTCGTTCGACTACCCCAGGTGATTTTTTTCCTCTGGGAAACAGTTTGGAAGCACCTGACTCATAGCAGCTTCTCTTCTGTCATATACTGTGTACTGTATATTGCGTTCATGAGCCAAGAAAAACAAAGGAAAAATAAATGGAAGATACAAGGAACCAAAAAAGTCATCACACAGCGTCCCTGCCAGCTTTTCCTTAAATGTGTCCAGGGCAGAGGCATTCACTCTCTTACAGAGAGTAGTTTTCTCCACATTTGAACAGTTCCATTGGTTCAAAAGACAAATCTCTTATTGTGCAGGAATCTGTTTCTTTTGAAGTTCTATTCATTGTTCTTGCCTGATATTTGGAGCAATGTGGAACGAACGAGTCAGCTTGTCTGTCCATTTGACAGCCGTTCAGACATTAAAAGAACTCTCTTATCTCCTCTTGATCTTCTCTTTCCAGGCTAAATATACCAAATTCCTTCATCCATTATTGGTGATAGAACATGGTTTCCATAGTTCTCACAGTCTTAATCACCCTCCTCTGGAGCCAACTCAAGACTGTCAATTTTCCACTTAAAATATGTTTTGTGACAGAATTGGACAGAATGCCATACATTTCTGAACAAGACAGAATATAGGCAAACCATAGTTCTCTTAAAGATGCTTAAAATAAATTATTTGAAAAGAATGATGTGCTTACATTAAAAGTTTCTGACCCCAGTTCTTTGGCTTACTGTGTGAGCTCGGACCAGTCATTTAACATTTCCAGAATCTTAAAGACCTTGTCTCTGAAACTGGGATAGCAATATTTCTCTGCCTACATGCAGACCTCATAGGGTTGTTCAGAGAATAAGACATAAAACAAAGTGGCTTGAATGATTATGTGCTACTTTTATCATCAAGTCAACATTAAAACTGTATTCAAAATAATCAATAGTTATTAAATCTAAGATATAATTTAAATACTAGTTTGTTCCCTATAAACTTTATGTTAAAAAGTTTCTGAATTTGTATTGACCAAAGTATGAAGCCTCTACATTTCAGTAACGATGTGGAGGAGATTCCAGCCAGATTTTAAAAATCTCAATTTGTTTTTAAAAGGTAGATTGTTGTCCAATCAGGTTTCTTTGTGCTGTATTTGTGCAACCAAGTCTTTGAACTGAAATTCCAAACTTAAAAAAAAAAAAGTCGTATATGCTTCTAGGAAGAGGGTCTATAGTCAGGACCCTGGACTTTACTATAAAATCGTAAAGACCTACCTGTTAGATCTGAAGAGAGAATTGGACACCACCCTCACCTCTTGTGACTTTTCTGGAATTTTCTTCAGGAAGGAAAGTGAAGTGTGCAGAAATGTCCTATTTCTTAATTGATTTCAGATATTTTTATTAACAGTATTTTCCTCTTTTTACTTTTCCGTTGATGTGTTCTCAAGGTAAAGTTTAACATAAATGAGAAGTAGCTCTGTCTTTCTTATAGAAGATTTGGACTTAGATTAATGGGAGAAATAAAGTCATAAGTATGAAGATAGCCTTGCTAATGTTTTAAAATAATATTTAATTGTACAAACGTGTTTTATATTTAATGATGAGAGAAAAAAGCAGGATACAAATCTATACATATGTGGCATGATAACAGGTATGCAAAATATTTGTATGTTTGTGAATACTTATTTACATAGAAAAACGAAGAACACTGGAAGGAAGTAAACCAAAATATTAGAAGTGATTATCACTGGCTAATGAGCTTACAGGTTTTCTTCTCTTTATACTTCCCTATATTTTATAAATTTTCTACAATGTGCATGTATTATTTTTATAATCATAAAAAAGGTAGCAAGAAAGTGAAAGAGCTTTGCTGCTAGGTGAAAAGTTGGTGTTTGTATTAGAAACACAATTTCATGAATACATTTTTCACTAGTGCCAACTCCGGAAGGTGGGAAAAAGACCTTCTCTTATTCTTCCCCCCATTTCATTTCATCTGACATGTAGGAGTTTCTTTTAATGATAGATTTCACTGAGGGAAAGGCACCTGGGGCAACAATCAAGGGAGATTGCATTACACTGTGACAAAATCTTTAGAACCGCCTTTCTGTCTGGGCCGTCAAACAGACTGAAAAAGGTGTAAATCCTTTCCGTTTTTTTAAAGTAATTTTTAAGGAGACTTCTTACACAATGAGATACACATTTAATATTTTAAAATCTCTGGCCTATTTCCAAATAGGATTATCACTTCCACATTAATATTTCTGGTCTTTTACATAAATTTAAGAAGTCAGGGCATTGGTACATGCCCACTAGACTGAAAGCTCCATGACACTAGGAACCATGTTTATTTGCTTGTTTGTTTGTTTGTAATTCATCTTTGTATCCTCAGCAACTAGTCTACGGCCTGATACTTACTAAATGCCAACAGAACAAGATGGAAGCAAGCCCTTCAGCCAGCTGACTAGGATACATAACAAAGCTCTTTTCCCTTCTCCCTGGGGTGTCAGTACTTGGATGGACAGAGAAAACCTGAAGGACAAACCTGGTCAAAATGGAACCGAGTAGACCCTGCCAAAATATGAGCAAATAGGGGAGGGGCAGGTAAAGGAGGGCTGAGGAATCTGGCTGGAATCTCCTACACATCATTACTGAAGTGTGGAGGCTTCATACTTTGGACAATACATAGCAAAGAACATTGATAAAGCTCTCTAGCTTGTTCTCCCCTCCCCATTTTTTAATTGAAAGGGATGGATTACAGATGGCTGTAAATTTACTCTAGAATGTTTGAGAAAGGGTTGGGACAGGGCCCAGGCTGACAAAGTGACAAATGTCTGTGTCAGCAGGCCCCACATCTGCAAGAAATGGAGACAGGGACTTTGGCATACACCATGAATGACCAGAACAGGTGAACAAAGCAAAGAGGGGCCAGGTCTTGGGAACAAGAAGCTTAATGTGACTTCAGATAGACTCCCCTATTATTGAGTGAAACTCTGTAAACTTATGACAGAGGTCAGGAATGGCCTTTGGGTTTGGGGTGAGGGGAAGGGCAGATGTATGTCAAGTAGCTGAGAAAAGCTGTTGGGATATTTGGCTTGAGGGGGCTGAGATAAGAGGTGGACGGTGTGACATGGTGCTAAGAGGCCTTAGCTGGCTGACCTGAAATAATAAAGCAAGCCACCTTTATTATTATTATTATTTATTGTTATTATTATTTAATATGTATTATTCTTTTGAGGGGAAGTGAGAAAAGACAACTTGGTAACCACCACATACCTTCAATTTGCTGACATGCGTATAACATGTGTTCAAAGACTCCCCTTCTTGCAGTAAAGCTGTGGAGATTCTTATGTCTTCAATTACTGGCTGGAGTATGTGAGGATCCAAATGACTTATTATATAAAAGAACATTATGGAGAGCTGAGTTCCTAAAGCTGGAGTTTCAAGAGAAATACCACTTTTGTTCCCTGGTGGTGACAGAAGGAGCAAGACTTTGAGGTGCAGGCTAATATATACCAACTTTAACAGGCCTTAGGGAGTCAGCACCTTTACCTAAAGTAGTGCCTCAAATGGTAGGAGTTTATAATGCAGGGAGAAACTTGATAAAAATATGAATAGAGGGTTCTGAACCTCTTCTATCTGGATAATATGGACAGCTCCATGTTAAGGCTGTACGTGGTTTTCAAGAGATTCTCTATCATCTCTGGAGAGATTTGGAAACAGGAGGGCCAAATTATCCTTATTCAAGGTCTGTTCCTGGCATTAGGAATCCTTTTGAACTAAAGTCTCCAAATAGCAACTTTGTGCTAGTCAAGCCAGTTCTTTGAAATCTCAGCCTTCTGTCCTGGATCATTTCCCTCCCTGGAGCTGGCTGTAAATCTGTCACCCTCCTTCTAACAGATCCTATCCACTGTCTCTAGATTAACTTTCTCAAAACACTGTTTCATCATATTGCTTTATTTTCCCCTTCTGCAGTAAGTAAACTTTGATGGCTTCTTATGGAGCACTGGGTCTCAAGATGTTCTTGAACCAGCCCCATGAGCATTACCTGGAAAGTTGTGAGAAATGTAAATTTTGGGGTCCTGCCCCAGACCTACTGCACACCTGTAATCCCAGCACTTTGGGAGGCTGAGGCGGGCGGATCATGAGGTCATGAAATTGAGACCATCCTAGCTAATACAGTGAAACACGGTCTCCACTAAAAATACAAAAAAATTAGCCAGGCGTGGTGGCACATGCCTGTAGTCCCAGCTACTTGGGAGGCTGAGGCAGGAGAATCACTTCAACCAGGGAGGTGGAGGTTGCAGTGAGCCGAGATCGGGCCACTGCACTCCAGCCTGGGGGACAGAGTGAGACTCCATTTCAAAAAAAAAAAGAAAAGAAATTCTGCTGGTATGGCCCAGTGATTTGTTTAACAAACCCAGCTGTGTACTAGAGTTTGAGAACCACGGCCATAGAGCTCTTCAACTTGATATTCAAAGCACTCTCCTCTCTGCTGTCTTACAACACTTGCCTCTTGTATTGCCAATTGTATGGCACTTATTCATCCTGTCATATGTTATTGTTATTTTCTTTGTATAATCTGATGTCACCTTCAGAATTGTAAACTTCTTGAGGTATTGGTCTGTGTATTTTCTTAACTATAAAATCATAAAACTAGAAAGGACCTGGAAAAGCAACCCCTGAATTTTGCAAACTTTTGAACAGTACCATGCATATAGTGGACATTCAATTAACATTTGTTGAATGAAATAACATGACCACAGGGGCCCCTGAGGTGAATTGAGACTGCCGAGACTTCAGTGTCATCATCTTAATTTAGATCATTGCTTTGGACACCCTCCAAGGGTTTCTGAATACCTGGGGAAAGCCTTGGATGCCATTGCCAGCTTTTCCCTCATGGTCTTTGCATGGGCTTTGGAATTTTCTTACTGAATGCAAGGCAGTGTGGTGGTTTGAGTTACAAATAGCAGAGCATTTGAATTGAGAAGAAAATAAAAACAAAAACAACATTGGTGTTTCTATCTTATTGCTGCTTTGAGACTCGACATGAAGTATGAATCCATCATACACAAGAAATAATATCTTGCGTGGATATCTAAAGCATAAATAAAAATTAATTGCAGCACACAGCTGTTAATTATCAGGCTTTGGAGCATTCCAGAAGCAGTTGCTCATGAATACTTATTCAGCTAAATATCACTTGCTCATTAGGACATGCCGACATTGGCTATGAAGACACTTGCCAGTTGCTGATTCTTGTTGCTTCTGTATAGTCTAGGGGTCTAGCCTGCCAGTGGTCTGGCTGTTACATTTTAGGGGTAGGCTGTCACAACAGAAATGGGCATGTTTGGCTTATGAAACTACTCTGTCTTCATCTTATGAGTGTTCATACCAAAAGAGGAGATCCTTGACTTCCAAGGATGGCTATTTGGTGATTCTTCTCCAAAGTGAATTGGGCCATGGGTATGACAGACATTTTGTGTGTGAGTGTCACTTTGTGGCAGGTAGTAACACATAGTGGTGTGCTAAATACATTAATAACTTTTATATTGCATTTTTATTATTAGGGTTCAATGCTTTAGGGCCCTGTTAGAAGATGTTGCTCTCAGAAGAATGACAAAAACTTAAAAAATGTATTTACTGTTTTTTTAGAGAGAGACATCTTTGTATTTCAGAGATGAGAAGAAATTCAGAAAGGCAATTCATTTTCATAGGTTAAATTTACACACTAATGAAAAGGAGAGAAAAATAGGAAAAGGGTTACTTTTATTTTTCATCTTCTGTGGACAGTGGACTGAGCAGCAAAAATAACCCATCTTGTTACTATAGGTCAAATTCATTAAAACAAACATACATGGATTTTCTTAATTATACGTGCGAGATTTGATTTAAATAAGAGTGCTGCTACTTGTTGCTTAGAAAGTTTCAGGGTAATTATATTGATTACAAAATTGGAACTATGGGCCTGGTTTTCCTGATCTTGTTATTGTCAAGTCCTTCCTAGTTTCCAGTCTCTGCAGACCTCTCTGCTCACCATGACTTCAGCCTGTTCACTCAGCCTTCTAAGCTCCCTGTGGCCAGGCTTTACCTGGGAGAGGAGGCATTTAAGGAGTTCCAATCCAATACTTTTCTTCCTTAGCATCAAGCTAGTTTGGCTTCCGGTCTGCCTTTGGCTTTTGCTGTAATTTCTAGAGTCATGTATGTCTCTCGTTCCTTGGATTCAGTATCTACCTTATGCTGCAGTTCTCATACCCGCATTCTTCTCCCATTACCCAGAATTGAGTTCCTGTTTTAAAAGTTTGCCAGGTCTGCCCAGGTCCTCTAAGAACACCTAAGACCCAACCTTACGTTTGCCATTCTTTCTCTCTCTTAGCCACCGGGGTCCAGCTCCTGTTCCACAGTCTGACTGTGGCTCTACTATGGTAGATAAGGCTTTCTGATGCTGCCTGCCTGAATTTGGGACACGTTTAGCTGCTTCTTGGCACCAAGCCGTGGTTTCGTATTGAGTGAACTTCTGCTCTTTCATGTTTGCCTCCTGATACCAATTTCCTGGCTGCATTATCAATCCTTGTGTTCTGCCATATTCTTCAGATACTTTGTTCTGCTTGCCAGACTGGACATTCTCCCAGCACCTGCAACTGAGCCATCCTCTCTGATGGGTAGGTCTAGTTTCAGGTCCCAGTTTCTTCCCTCGTGACCTGACCAGGCAGGTGTCTGGTTTACCAAATTCAACAAATGTAAAGCATGTCCTTCTAAATGTTTGTTTTAAATACAATCATTTAATCATTTTTGTTTCAATTAGGTTTACATTTAAAGAATTACTCCCATACTTTTTATTACTCTATGTGGATTGTGGAAATTGTTGCCTTTCCCTATTTGCAGTTCTTTTAAGTAATAAGATGCAAATGAACCTCACTTTCAATTGAAATTCTGAGAAAAGTTCTTAGGGTAACTTCACATTTAAGGGTGCTTTAATTAGACTGAATTGTGCCTATTTATTGCCTGATGTCCAAGGCAGAAACCTCGGGTCTAATTATTGTGCTTATTTACTGCTCTCAATTATATTATAGATATGAGGAGTTGAAGAGCAAGAAAAGAAAAAGCAAAGCAAATATATTTGTGCATGAGAGAGAGAGAGAGTGTGTGTGTGTGTGTGTGTGTGTGTGTGTGTGTATTGTGTTGAGACTGAGGGGAAGGTAAGGGCAGGGGAAAGCAACTCTGTTCACTTGACAAATGTAAAAGGGATCCCTGTTAATATAACCCTATCACTGATGTGAGCACTTATTATGGTGTATCAGGCAGTGTGCTAATAAGAACTGGGGTTACTTCATTTAAGTCCAATTAAATAGTTACTAATTTTATTCCTACTTCACATGAGGGAAAGCTGAGGTTTGGAGAGGTTAATTTACCTGAGTTCACACAGAAAATAATTGCTGAATCAGGGATTTGGATCCCTTTGGTGTGACTCTAAATTTGAGTCCTCCAGATTATACTGCTTTCCTCTTCTTTAGTGTGATGTTTCCAGATTATTCTTGTACAACCTGAGAAGTGATCGGGAATATGGAGGAAAATAAGTGACATTAACTAGTTATAGTAACATTTACTAGTTATAATTTTCTAAGGGTTTTTGCCTACAGTATCTGCTTTATTTTCAGAAAATAATAAGGTAAATGATATTGTCTTCATTTAGGAGGTCAAAACAGAGACTCAGAAACATTAAATAACTCCATATTGTTGTGAATAGCTGTAGTTTATTCATTTGACTCTTGTTTACTATTCCCCTGTGAAAGTCTACTACAGTATCCTGACAATGGACATCTGATTTTTTCCAGGTTTTTGCTATTGTAATAGTACAACTATGAACATTTATATGAATACTTCAGTGCATATTTTGCAAAATTTTTTCTCAGCTATATACCTTAGAGTATGTGTGTTAAAAATGCCAATTTAAAGTAATAAATTAAAAAAGAGGGCCATGCATGGACCAATGGCCAGAGCGTGTCATAAACCAGTGATTTCGATTAAACAAATTCTGTGAACTAAGGTAAAAAATAAAAATCTGTAAACCTGAGACTTCACTTTTCTCCCCCAAAAGGAATCACCTGACTTGGTGACTTATCTGGGGCAACAGAATGGTAGAACTGGTTCTAACCCCCAGTTCTGTAATTACAGAAAATTCTTAGGCCTGCCCCACGTTAACACATGAACATTATTCTCATTATTCTACTTGGGTGGCCTGAGAACTACAAACTTCACAGGTTCAGAGGAGAGATTACACACCACTGAGTTGCTAGTCTGTTTTTGAGAAGAGATTTGGTTTTGAGAAATTACTCCAGAGTGTTTATATTGCTTCACCCATGGGCCTGTGTGCTGTTAAGCTTGAAATGAAAAGAATGACTCTGTGGTTTAGTTTTATGAGGGAACCAAAGCCATAGAGTTATGATCTAGTGCATATAATATTGAAGGATCACAATTTAAAGTCCAATAATCCTTGCCATTTGTCTTCACAAGAGGATCTCAAAGAGTTTTATGAGAAATTATAGACTAAGAATTTGGGAGAGTTATGTGCAATTTTTGGTTAAAAAAGGAAGTGCTAAAGTTTTCTGGAATGCTTCAAGGCTGTCATTGGAAAAGGCATGAAGAGAGCCTAGGATCATTGACTCCTTGGCTAGGAACCCTGGCAGGATTAAATGCAACCAAACAATTCAGTGATTCTGAATGGCTTCAGCTTTCTTTGAGTGGCAATTTTGCTTTTCTGGGGGCCCTACTAATTGAAGGAAAGCATAGAGGAGCCAGAGTAAATTGGTTCTTCAGAAGCTTTAAGAAATATTGTGGGGGTCATATTAATACAGCTTTTGTAATATATTCTCTTTCTAATTAGTTTTTTTCTCTCTTTAATGGGAATTTTAAGGACTGCAGTGGCATGAGCCAACAGAGATTTTTAAACAGCACAAATATAAATGGTTATTCTAAATTATATTTGGAAGAAACTCTACTTGAGGTATTTAAGTTAGTAAGTAAAGGCACCAAATTAATATAGGCTATTTTAAGAATAAATATGGAATGCTATAAAACTTTGGTGATCTGTATACTTTCTGGTGGCTGGCCAATAGGATTTTTAATTGAATTACTACAGAAAATTCAGCACAAAATATTATCAGATTTAACCACCCACTCAATATGTTATTTGTTACTGTTTTATTAGGCTAAATCAAAGGTTATAGCATCTCATCTTCTGCACTGATTTTTAGCCCAGAGGGGTAAAGTTTTAAAATGAGATCATGAAATTTTAGTAAAGAGCAGGTACTTAACAAAAGGATGATACTCAATTATTTTATTTAGAAAAGTAAAACTATTTTGTGACTGCTTTATATGTGCATTCCTAGCCTTTAAATAGTTAGACAACTTCATTGACATTCGCATTTTGGAGCTTTGTAACTAGTCTGAGGTTGAACCTGGGAGGGGAGATGTTGGGTGCTGAGGTCCTCATGGAGAAAAGACCTGTTGGCAAATCCAATGTCAAAAGTACCCACATTTCAGGCATATTGCCTTTGGCTATATTCTCTGAAAAGCCCCAAGATGGTGGACAGCATGGCTGGAGTTTACAATTCCCCAGATAATCATTTCAGAATCTATGCATCTCACATTTGGTCATTGTAAGTGGTTAGAAATTCCTGTTTTTTTAATTATTTTGTGTCAGTGTGCCTCATCTTGCAGCTGTTCTCAGAGTGCAGTCTGCAGACCAGTAGCATTACCCAGGAACTTGTTAGAAATTCAAATTCTCAGATTTTTGTTGGCTGCCTACATGTCTTCGAGAAGTGTCTGTTCATATCCTTCACCCACTTTTTGATGGGGTTGTTTGTTTTTTCTTGTAAATTTGTTTAAGTTCCTTGTAGATTCTAGATATTAGACCTTTATCAGATGGGTAGATTGCAAAAATTTTCTCCCATTCTGTAGGTTGCCATTTCACTCTGATGATAGTTTCTTTTGCTGTGCAGAAGCTCTTTAGTTTAATTAGATCTCATTTGTCAATGTTGGTTATTGTTGCAATTGCTTTCGGTGTTTTAGTCATGAAGTCTTTGGCCATGCCTATGTCCTGAATGGTATTGCCTAGGTTTTCTTCCAGGGTTTCTATGGTTTTGGGTTTTACATTTAAGTCTTCAATCCATCTTGAGTTAATTTTTGTATAAGGAGTAAGGAAGGGGTCCAGTTTCTGTTTTCTGCATATGGCTCATCATCACTGGTCATTAGAGAAATGCAAATCAAAACCACAATGAGATACCATCTCACGCCAGTCAGAATGATGATTATTAAAAGTCAGGAAACAATAGATGATGGCAAGGCTGTGGAGAAATAGAAACACTTTACACTGTTGGTGGGAGTGTAAATTAGTTCAACCATTGTGGAAGACAGTGTGGCAATTCCTCAAGGATCTAGAAGCAGAAATACCATTTGACCCAGCAATCCCATTACTAGGTATATACCCAAAGGATTATAAATCATTCTACTATAAAGACATACGTACACGTATGTTTATTGCAGCACTATTTACAATAACAAAGACTTTGAACCATCCCAAATGCCCATCAGTGATAGACTGGATAAAGAAAATGTGGCATATATAAACCATGGAATACTATGCAGCCATAGAAAAGAATGCGATCATGTCCTTTGCAGGGACATGGATGAAGCTGGAAGTCATCATTCTCAGCAAACTAACACAAGAACAGAAAACCAAACACCACATGTTCTCACTCATAAGTGGGAGTTGAACAATGAAAACACATGGACACAGGGAGGGGAACATCACACACTGGGGCCTGTTGGAGGTTGGAGGACAAAGTGTGGGAGAGCATTAGGGCAAATACCTAATGCATGCGGGGCTTAAAACCTAGATGATGGGTCTATAGGTGCAGCAAATCACCATGGCACATGTATACTTATATAACAAACTTGCACGTTCTACACATGTATCCCAGAACTTAAAGTAAAAGAAAAAAACAAAACAAACAAACAAAAAGAAATGCAAATTCTCCTGGATCAAGACCTACAGAATCAGAAACACTAGGGATGGAGCCCAGTGATGTATTTTGAAAGCCCTCCATGTGACCCTGATGTCTGCTACGTTAGAAAACAACTATTTAAATTATGTTGATGAGTGTTTAAGTTTTTTGATAACCATCTTGAAGAGCTCCTATTCTAGTGTCTGATTCGTGGTAGACTCTCAGTGTTACCCTGAAAATGGAAGATGCACTTAATTTGTAATGCAACAGTCTGTGATGTTTACTATTATATTTTAGTCTCCCTCTCTCTCTCTCTTTTTTAACTGTCTACTCAGGAAGGAATAGTTGCCCTCACAGATTATTCATTTACTTTTCCTTTGAGACTAGCTCTTCAGCTTTTCATTTAATATGAAAAAGGTCATCTTCAAAGAAAATTGTTGTTTGATGCTTCAGTTATTTAATTCTCTAGCGAGTCACTGAGAAACAAAGTTGCTTCATGCCAATCATTTCTTTCCCATTAAAGAAGGAAAGTCACTTCACTGTCAATAATGATTAGTGAATTTTTTCTCTAGTCTCTACTTCAGGACCATTTAAAACTTTAGTGGCCAAAAATTTGTTGTTTAAGACTTCTAAGTTGGCTTTGAGTCTGCTTAGGCAGCAAATTCATCTAAGGGCTGTGAACCTCTCAGCTTTGCCTAGGGTAATAGGTGAAAATGGGGAAAAAATTATTCACAAAGAAAGTTGAAGTGAAACAGGTTTGGGGAGACAAATGGACTCAGATTGTGATGTGAATTCATATGTTTTATACACCCAATTATTTCTAATGTGTGAAATCCAGGGAAATTATGTGTTCCAGACTCAGTGAGATTCATGTGGTACAAACCTCTTTTGCATCTTGTTATGTAAAAGATCCATGTGGTTTGAATAGCATTCTTGCATGTCAGCACATCTAGTCCTAGGGGAAGAGGTTCCTCAGGATAGGGACACCAAACAGAAGATGCTGGGTGTTGTTCTCTGGGGATGAGACAGCTGATTCTGGGTTAAAAACTGAAAACGCAGGGATCATTGAGATTTCAGGGAGGCTCCACATGGACCAGCATAGGGAGGTAGGGATGGCCACGGCATGCTGAGGGTCTACCAGGAATATAGAGAAATCTGATAAGGCAGGAAGGAAGTGGACCTGCAGGGGAGCCGGGGGTCTGAATGACCAAAGGACCTCCTTAGGTAGCATTCCTTATTCGTATGATTCTAATAAGAATGTGGGTGGAAGAATGCTTCTAGAATAGAATTGGACTGAGTGGTGTTAACCACTACCTGAGCAGCTCTTTTCTGAGTACCTAGCCAGACCTGTTCAGCTTTGTCCTCCTCAGAAAGAGGCCCAGATAAAGGGGAGAATTGGCCCCTAGAGCCCAGGTTCTGGGAGGCAGTCTATAAAAACTTGCATTTTGAAATCCACAAACATTGACTGAATGCCCTCCTGGTGCCAAGCACCATGGAGATGCTAGGGATAAAGTAATTAGAGAGTTCCTCAGGGAACTCCAGGCCTTTTGAAGATGATAGATAGTTAAACAGCTTATTATAATTCAGTCGAATGGTATTTTTAGGGACAGAATGTTATGCAAGAATATAAATCAATTTTTTTCTGCCTGAGGAAGTCAGCTAATTTTCTTAGAAATTGTAATATAGGTAGGCCAGGTAGTGAAGAGGGGCAGGGGCATGGCAGGTAAAAGGATGAATGTTTAAAGAAGTATGGTGCTCTCAGGAAATGGCAAGCAGTCTGTTTCTGCAGCAGCATAAGATACCTGAGGGTGAGTGTTGGAGTTGAAGTTGGACAGATGGCATGGAATCAGATCATCAAGGACCTGTAGGGAGCAGAGCTTTAGTCAGAGGAGTCACATGATCAGATTTCTTTTAGAAAGATACATTCTAGCTCTTTTATGGAGGGTGGATTCCAAATAACAGAGGCCAGACTCAGAGTAGAACCTTGTAAAAGTACACTTGAAGCATGATGTGAGCCTAACTCAGGGCCATTTCTAAGGTGATGGAGAAGCAAGGTTGACTTTTTGAGGCTTGAATTTGTCACGTTTACTCCTTTTTTAGTCCTATCTCCACCTGTTTGGGGGCTTCTGTGGTTGATGCTCTTATAGTTGCTGCCTCTATAGTTGCTCTTGATAGAGGGAACAGATAGAAGGTGGGCCAGCATTCTGTCATATTACATGGGGCTTTTTCCCTCTCAGAGATTTTACCAAACTTTCCCAGCAGTATTAAATGAAACCCAATTACTAATATAAAGAATTTCATGTTAATATATTAGTAAATAAATTCTTTTGATACCATCTTTTGTGACAGGTAATTATAACTTAAGTGGCCTACATCAAATGTATTAATTCATTCATGAAACTTTCATTGACATTTGCAATGTGAAGGCACTGTTAGCTTCGCCGAAGGGTAACAAAAAAGCATTGAATATCCTCTGGCAGAAATTGCCAGTCCTGCTTTATTCTCTATAGCCACGAGCCAAGGAACTTTCTCAAAGCATTTGTTTTATTCATTCTTTCACTAATCCTTCAATTTATAAGTCAACAAATATTTGTTCAGCATCTACTATGTGAAGGCAAAATAATGACAGGTGAGGAGCACGTTAGAGGTGGAGTAAAAATAGAACAGAAAGTTCAAGATGGACTTCAAAGTTCTCAGAAATTCCCAAATTTAAAAATACTCTCAAGACTTTGGGGAACTTAATCTTTAATACTCTTACTACCTTTGTTATTAAAGAGCATCTTGGTTTAGGAAGTAAAGTTTTAGCTTCTTCAATAACCTAGGAATCATATCTCAGTTTCCATGTTTCTCTGATAGTTGCTTGAAACTTTGATCCCTGGACTCTGCAATGTGGAACCATATTCACAGGTCACAGTAATTTCGAAAGATGAGCAAATAAAGTATTTTCCATTATCTATCTGTAGGCTTTTCTATTGCTTAAAAAGAGACTAAATAGCATGGTTTTCTAGGCAAGTGTGATAGAAAATGTGGAGCCTAACTCCCCTCCCTCACCCTTTTGAAGGCCAATCTATGAATTTGTTTGAAAATTGTCCAGTTTCAGAATTTAGCTAACTAGTTGTGTAAATGACTAAGGGTCATCAGAGAGCATAGAAGTATTATTTGCCCAGGCATATTTTGACCTCTTCTTTGACAGCCCTTCTTTTCACTGAAAAAAATTCTTTCTCATTCTAGTCTTCTGCTCTTCTGTAGAAAGAGAACTTGCTGGGAGTTAGGTGACTTGACTTCTAATCTCAGTTTTGTGGCTAACTAGTTGTAGGACTTTAAGCCAGAGGTTGTCAAACTATAGCCTGCAGGCCAAATCTTGACCACCATCTGTTTGGGAAAATAAAGTTTTATTGGAGCATAGCTATGACTGTTTGTTTACTCATTGTTTACGAATGCTTTCTTGCTACAATACTGAGATGAATACTTCTGATAGTACCATATGGCCCACAGAGCCTCCAGTATTTACTGCCTGGCCCTTTACAGAAAAAGTTTGCCAACCTCATCTTTAGGCAAGTCGCTGTCTTACTTGAGCCTCATCTTCCCCATTTGTAAAATTTGGGAGTTGGACTAGGTTGTTCCCAGGGCTCATGTCCTCTTTACATGGTTACTCTAGAACTCTTCTTACAGAGCAGTCTCATCTCACATCAGTCATTTTATACTGGGACGTAAACCTATTCATATTTATATTCATTCAGTTTACTAAGCTCCTAATACTGGCAAGCCAGAGTGGAACACTAAGTCTAAGAGCATCCCTGCCTTTGAGAAACTTATAATCTGGTTAGAAGATATACATACAAGGTTTCAAACTTAAATTAAAATAGAATGTAATAAAGGATAACATACCAAATTAAGTGATAATGATTAAAAGATTTCAGAGGAGAAATATCATTATGGACTGACATCATTAGGGAAATATCTGTAGGGGAAAGTGAGATTTTATTTTTTTAACAGTCATCTTCATAGCCCTGTAAAATACTGGATTCAGTGTCCCTCTAAAGACGTAGTTTTCAAATTTTAGGATGCATAAAAATCAACTGAATTAGTAGGAAAAAAATGCAAATTCCTTATATCCAGCTTTCGAGATTCTAAGTAGGTCTGGGGTACAGCTTATAAATGAGTATTTTCACAAACACCCTGGATAATTCTGATACACATTCTGGTAAGTTGTTAAATATAATTACTACCTAGGAATTTATGATGTTTGGTAGAGTTTTTGTGAACTGTGGTTATGTGTGACTAGAAGGAACTCCATTGTCCATGGAGCAAGTACTTCAATGACTTTCTCTCTCTTTTTAGGAAATGTGAAATCTCTTAGGCCAAGAAGAACAACCTGAGGACTCTCTTTCTGGAGGTAATTGAACTCCTTTAGTAAATCCAGAGGAGAAATCTGAGATCAGTACATCTTTTGTATCTATGATAGCTAAGGATACATCACTTGAAAGATTCACTGTACTAACTACTTTCTTCAGCATTTGACTCTTGGTCCTTGTGTTGTGAGCTCCTTGTTCCTGCAAAGCTGGCTGGGGTCACCATAGTGGGTCAAAAAAAAATTCATCAATGAAAAAGATAGGGAATCTCCAATCTCTATCCCAAGACATGTTCTCGATGACTTGAGCACATCACACATCAGCAGATGCTCAGGATACAGAAGAGAGATTTCATCTACGGGAAAAAGACCCTCTGAAAAGAAGTGTGAAATCATCAAAAGAGCCATTGGAGGGGACACCAGAGAGTCGTGTGGCTGAGGTTTCACATGATCCCGCCATGCTTCCAGTCCAGAGGAGAAAGCTAGACCCACTCCTCAAAAAGTATAGGCATCATAAGAAGGCCACAAGGACAAAAAGAAGGAGGAAGGAGAAAATGGAGGCCCAGTGCTCCCCTGTTCCTCCAACACCTTCAACACCACCACAAAGTGAAGAAGATGAGGCTGTAGACAAAAAGCCAACTCTACTCAGTGCCCAGGAAGATACTCCTGACCTTCTCCATGAGGTAGGGGTGGCAAAATCCTGGGATTGTCACTCTTCCGTAAGAAAAATAGTGACAGCTCTTCACCTGGAGTAGGAAGAATTGGGGGTATGGAGCTTGAGAAACAAACTGGGGTCACTGGTCCCAGATAGAACATAAAAGATTTGGCGGCTGCACACAGTGGCTCACGCCTGTAATCCCAGCACTTTGGGAGGCCAAGGTGGGCGGGTCACGAGGTCAGGAGATTGAGACCATCTTGGCTAACATGGTGAAACCCCGTCTCTACTAAAAATTAAAAAAAATTAGCCGGACGTGGTGGCAGGCGCCTGTAGTCCCACCTATTCGGGAGGCTGAGGCAGGAGAATGGCGTGAACCTGGGAGGCGGAGCTTGCAGTGAGCCGAGACCACACCACCGCACTCCAGCCAGGGCGACAGAGCTAGACTCTGTCTCAAAAAAAAAAAAAAAAAAAAGGCTTGGCTCAGAGAGTCATGTCCTTTTTTCTTTATGCACATGGTTATTGTCTTTGAGGGCTTTTAATTTATTTCTTTTACTTACAGGACAGATTACAGTATCTGCAGGAAGAGGGTTCCGGTGTGATGCATCAGGAATGTCAGATCCAGTCCTGTGAGCTCTCGGTGGCTCAGAAGCCCAGGCCCTCTTCTCCTGCAGTGACATCCTTGGCATCACCACCACTCTGCTTTGGCAGTTTCCTAAGCTGTGTCTGCCAGACCTTCTCAAGGTCTAGGAAGCAGAAGCCTCCCAGAAGAAAGGGTAACAACCAGGCTGAGGCAGGAGGTGATGCTGAGGTCCTGAGACCTGGCCCGGCAAAACCAGAGTTGAGCCTCAGCAAAACGTGTAGCCACTTGAAATCGATAGAGCTTTCCTTTGTGTTTAGTTTTATAGTTCTCTCTGTATGTCATTGTTCCTCTTAGTTGAGTTTTTGCCTGTCAAAGAGATAGAGAGCTGCTTTTATGCTGAGATCCTCAAGCCAAAACCCACAGTAAACGCAAAGTAAAACTTTGAGGCTTTGAACTTTTACTCAGTGGTGGAATTACTTCCTACTTCCTTCCCATTAGGTTGAAGGTGGGATTCTCTCTGGAATAAGTTGTTCCCAAAATTCATGTGTATTTCACTCAGGATTGAAGTGATACAATTTCATCATTTTCGGTAGTGTTTCCTGATATCGACGACCAAATGGAGACCTTTCATGTCCAACTCCTTTCATTTTCTTTTACCTTTGACTACAGATTCATTTTGTATTCTTCATCTTCAATATTTTGTTGAAATTCTGCCACTCTGCCACTTTCTTTTTTCTTTCTTTCTTTCTTTTTTTTTTTTTTAAGACTGAGTCTCGCTCTGTCGCCAGGCTGGAGTGCAGTGGCACGATCTCGGCTCGCTGCAACCTCTGCCTCCCGGGTTCAAGCAATTCTCCTGCCTCAGCCTCCGGAGTAGCTGGGATTACAGGCAAGCGCCACCACGCCCAGCTAATTTTTGTACTTTTAGTAGAGACAGGGTTTCACCATGTTGGCCAGAATGGTCTCAATCTCTTGGCCTCATGATGCCCCACCTCGGCCTCCCAAAGTGCTGGGATTACAGGCGTGAGCCACCACACCCGGCCAATTCCGCCACTTTCTAACTTGAATAAGCCTCAGGATGTCCTGGCTGCTACACAGCTATCACTTCCTCCATCCCTAACCAATATTTGGTTTCTTTTTTGTCACTTGTTAGTAGGGTTCCTAGCTCTCCCTTCTGAAAGGTACCTTTGGTGTTCTCTAGCCATCTGTATTGAAAACATAGTCACACAAAGTAATGTTTCTTCCTTGTCATTCTGTAGTCAGATTTTCACAGAATCCTGAGTTCTTCTGAGAATCCTAAAGAAGATAAGTGCTTTACTTTAAGAAAAGTTCAAGATCATTCCATTTCCCTCTTGTTCTGGTATGCTAGGTTAATCCTTTTCCCAGGATGTAAGAGTTTAAATTAATCTTACACCTTCTTTTGAGGGAGTATGTTCAAGAAGAGTTTAGGAGTTTCCCTGTAGCTTTATTACTTGTTATTTCCTAATTGTCCCAGTTTCCCAATTCATGTAAGAATAATAAATAAAAATACAAATATAAATAAATGTGCAGAGTATCTGCATAAGAAAGAAATAATATAACTTATTTTCTTTTGTCCTTAGCACTGACTCTGATGATTACTGGAATCACTGGAAATGTGACCAGTATGTTAGTTCTTTTCATGCCTGGAACAAGGCTTTGTACTGTTGGAAGAATACAGGTTTCAGATAAGGAAAGATCTACACAAGCACTTAGTTTTGAAACTTTTCTGCTCCCATGTGTCTTGACCCCTTACTCATAACCAAGAGAAAGGGAGTTTATATCTCCTCTGATGCATTTGTAAATGAGAAAGAATATATTTCCAGGTTTCAAAGTTTATATTGCTGTAGTTAGGAAGAGAATAGAATGAGTTGCAAGAGTGGTGGCAAATATCCTCAAGGATGCTTTGGAGGTAACAGGTTACAACCACATTTGAAGAAATTTCATGGTTTGGTGAGGATTTCAAATTAGAATTAGCAATTTTGCAAAATGTCATAGTACTTAGAGTAAAATAGGACACCTTTCTTTAAGAATGTTGAATATTGGCCCCCACTCTCTTCTGGCTTGTAGGGTTTCTGCCGAGAGATCTGCTGTTAGTCTGATGGGCTTCCCTTTGAGGGTAACCCAACCTTTCTTTCTGGCTGCCCTTAACATTTTTTTCCTTCATTTCAACTTTGGTGAATCTGACAATTATGTGTCTTGGAGTTGCTCTTCTTGAGAAGTATCTTTGTGGCGTTCTCTGTATTTCCTGAATCTGAACGTTGGCCTGCCTTGCTAGATTGGGGAAGTTCTCCTGGATAATATCCTGCAGAGTGTTTTCCAACTTGGTTCCATTCTCCCCATCACTTTCAGGTACACCAATCAGACGTAGATTTGGTCTTTTCACATAGTCCCATATTTCTTGGAGGCTTTGCTCATTTCTTTTTATTCTTTTTTCTCTAAACTTCCCTTCTCGCTTCATTTCATTCATTTCATCTTCCATTGCTGATACCCTTTCTTCCAGTTGATCGCATCGGCTCCTGAGGCTTCTGCATTCTTCAAGTAGTTCTCGAGCCTTAGTTTTCAGCTCCATCAGCTCCTTTAAGCACTTCTCTATATTGGTTATTCTAGTTATACATTCTTCTAAATTTTTTTCAAAGTTTTCAACTTCTTTGCCTTTGGTTTGAATGTCCTCCCGTAGCTCAGAGTAATTTGATCGTCTGAAGCCTTCTTCTCTCAGCTCGTCAAAGTCATTCTCCATCCAGCTTTGTTCCGTTGCTGGTGAGGAACTGTATTCCTTTGGAGGAGGAGAGGCACTCTGCTTTTTAGAGTTTCCAGTTTTTCTGTTCTGTTTTTACTCCATCTTTGTGGTTTTATCTACTTTTGGTCTTTGATGATGGTGATGTACAGATGGGTTTTTGGTGTGGATGTCCTTTCTGTTTGTTAGTTTTCCTTCTAACAGACAGGACCCTCAGCTGCAGGTCTGTTGGAATACCCTGCCGTGTGAGGTGTCAGTGTTCCCCTGCTGGGGGGTGCCTCCCAGTTAGGCTGCTCAGGGGTCAGAGGTCAGGGGTCAGGGACCCACTTGAGGAGGCAGTCTGCCCGTTCTCAGATCTCCAGCTGCGTGCTGGGAGAACCACTGCTCTCTTCAAAGCTGTCAGACAGGGACATTTAAGTCTGCAGAGGTTCCTGCTGTCTTTTTGTTTGTCTGTGCCCTGCCCCCAGAGGTGGAGCCTACAGAGGCAGGCAGGCCTCCTTGAGCTGTGGTGGGCTCCGCCCAGTTCGAGCTTCCCTGCTGCTTTGTTTACCTAAGCAAGCCTGGGCAATGGCGGGCGCCCCTCCCCCAGCCTCGCTGCCGCCTTGCAGTTTGATCTCAGACTGCTGTGCTAGCAATCAGCGAGACTCCGTGGGCGTAGGACCCTCCAACCCAGGTGCGGGATATTATCTCGTGGTGCGCCGTTTTTTAAGCCCGTTGGAAAAGCGCAGTATTCAGGTGGGAGTGACCCTATTTTCCAGGTGCCGTCTGTCACCCCTTTCTTTGACTCGGAAAGGGAACTCCCTGACCCCTTGCGCTTCCCAAGTGAGGCAATGCCTCGCCCTGCTTCGGCCCGCGCACGGTGCGCGCACCCACTGACCTGTGCCCACTGTCTGGCACTCCCTAGAGAGATGAACCCGGTACCTCAGATGGAAATGCAGAAATCACCGTCTTCTGCGTCGCTCACGCTGGGAGCTGCAGACGGGAGCTGTTCCTATTCGGCCATCTTGGCTCCTCCCATAGGACACCTTTCTAAAGTCAGTCATGCTTTGATACTTTTAGTTGTCTAAAAAGTGGTTGATTTCTCATTTTAAACAGTATTGAGTTTTCTTGAGCTAATTGACCGTGATAAATGGGTTTTATTACATAAAATTTCAAATTATCCAAACTATATCTATATTTACATACATATTTTCTCCATTTAATACAAGAAGCACACTCCCAGGTAAGGCATCATGTATGAAAGTCCTGAGTCATCGAGCCTGTTATTAAAAGCTCACCAGAATGCAGGTATTCGTGTTGGTATTATACTTTATTATTGTTATTACTTATCATAATAAGTGTTTCAGGTTAGTTTTTCTATCATAGAAAAACTATTAGTGGGAGCCTAGTTAGCCATATCTTCAGCCCCATCTACAATACTGATTTTCACATAAAAGTTATTTGCTACAAATTTGGTACATAGGTTTCAAATAAGGAAAGATCTATATAAGCACTTAGTTTTGAAATTTTTCTGCTCTGTGTCTTGACCGTTTACTCACAAACAAGAGAAAAGGTGTTTGTATCTCCTCTGATGCAATTTGTAAATGGGAAAGTGCATATTTCTATGTTTCAAATTTTGTGTTGCTATCTTTATGGTTTGAATTGTTAAACATGATTTATGACTTAATAAAGCTGCTTTTGAAAAATATACTTAGAAAAATAGTATAGCTGTTTCAAAGTAAAAACAAATTTAAAAATAAAACTTGCTACTATTGATGAGAGATAGAGCTTTATGAGTCATTTAAAAAAATTGTTTCCCCTGCAAAGCAGATAGACAGTTTTGCACATGTATTATAGACAGACATAATTGACAGTATAGAGGTGATCATATTTAATGTATTTAGTTCTCTTTTTTATCCCCATGGGAACCTAGAGAACTAGGTAGGTATCAGATGTTGCTGTACTTATTGCTACAGGTTGATTAAGCTAAGATTAAACAGGTCAATAAATATTTTCCAGCAATTTTTCTAAGATCACTCGTTTAGTCTGATAAAGAATTATAATACAAGTTTTTAAACCAAATTATTGGACTATTAGTTTTGTGGTTTTGTCTTGTAAATGTGATTTTTTTGCTCTGGGTTCTTGTCCCAACATTCAATATCGAAACATTTCCTAGGACCATTTTGTTTTTGTCAACTTATTCTCATATTAGTGTCCAAATTCCAACTAATGCCTTTACTACTCCCTGGGAAAATTTTAACATGAAAAAACCCTGGCTAATGTAAAATTATACCCCCCAAATAAACCAATAAAAAGGGTTTACTTATTACCTGAATTTTGACAGAAATAGTAGAAAGTATCTAGTCCTTTCCTCTTATTTATCAGAGGAATCTGAACAGAGAAATTGAATAGCTCTCTCAAAGTGACATAGCTGGTTAGTGACAAAGCTGAAACAAATAATAGCTACCATTAGATTAAATATTATACTTATTCACACATCAGTAATCTTCAGGCAATCTGCATAGGGTTGGTACGATAGTTTAAGTTCAGAAAGGTCCCAGGACTGGCAAGTCCTGATGCAGAATCCAAACCTAGGTCTGTTAGTCTCTGAAGCCAATACTTATTACATTGTACCTCTCAGTATTATAATATAAAATGCCTGTTACAAGTCTAACTGTAATATTAAGAATAAATAATTTCTCTTATTTGCCAAAATTTAGATTTTAGCTTTAGCACATATACAATAAAAATAGTCTAATAAAAAAAGTCCAATTAAAAAGACTATTTCTTTGGGTAAAATTTCTTTATTGAGCTGTAAATAATAACATAGTTAGAACCTAAGTGATTGATTAAAGAAAACTTCAGTGTAATGTAAATAAACTTTTAATCATTACAACCAATTAAACTGAGACAATTACTTAACTGAAAAGTGATTAAGAAAAAAAGGATAGCACATAATCAAAGCAGGGTCCTTGACTTGACACGGTCACAAGACAAGGCACAACAAAGACGAATTAGGCTCCATAGAAAGCTAATAGGCTTAAAGGCATTTCTAAACTGTTTTCAGGTGAAGAGTTTGAGACTTGGCTAGCAGAAAGACAGGCTCTTCACCATAACCCAGTGACCCTTGAAATAAGTACGTATACTCCGGCTAATGAACTCCAGGCTTTACATAGGAAATTTGAATTTTCTCACGCTTCAAAACATTCTTTTCATTCTGATTTGACAAGGCCTTTTTCAAGACAGAAGAAAAGAACAACAGAACTGGAAGACTCAAACCACTTGGCTGTGTGATCAAGGGATTTGATTCTTCATTTTTGCAGATTCAAGACACGAGGACAAGAGCTGTTGTATGTGGGAGAGCAGATTGGTGTAGATTTCTTGAGCTATTTTCTGACAGCTATAAAGAATTACAGCACTGCCCCCAGCCTGGAACCTTCGTGATAGACTGTCTCAGGCACAGATATAGTTATCACCCTCCCGGTTCACAGTGCTCATCTAGAGAAGGGCTTTGACTCTGATCCTTGGTTCTCCCATCCCACAACACTTTGCGCCTTAGAGTTAGTCCTGCAGTTAGTGAGAGGGCCACGATGGCTATTTTAATAGGAGTTTTAATACTCTACATAAAAAGATAAACTTCAAAACAGATGACAAAGTTCTTTACACAAATTGCATAATTTTAAATGAATTCAACATTCTGTGATTCTATTACAAATTATTTCTAACATGAACTTGACTTACTTTCTAGTTGTAATCACCATTCTGATTCTAGAATGCTTGTGAAAGTACTCAGTATTGGGTCCTTATGATGGTAACTCTTCTGGTGGATGACACAATAGATCCATTCACAGAAGAGTGATGAAACAGCAACTGAGATTTTTAATAACTGCTGTGAGAAATATTTCTTTATACTTCTCCTTTTATTTGGAAGAAAGAATTAAAATCCTTGAAAAGTTTTTAAAAACACACACACATTTCAACCAGCATGTAGTACCAAAACTTCTTCTTGAACAGTGATGCTCAAAAATAATATCTGGCTAAAATTTATATACAAACAATAATAGATTAAAAAATAAAATAGTAATCACCTAACCTCTTCTCTAAAAGCTACCATTCACTTTAATTTAAAATGTAGTCTCATTTTAAAGTTAAATTTATGAAGTAAAGGTCTATATCTAATTTTATAACATATCTAATTCTAAATATTTTGTAATTACATAATAAGTACTTGTGAAATATCTACCTAAGTCTGGACTTAAAAGACATATATTAGCTCCTAGTTTTGCCATTTACTACTCTGTAACTTTGGCTATTTATTTAAACTCATTTATCTCTGGTTTCCTCATCTAAAAAAAGGAGAGTATTAACCTATCAGGTGGTTTTTCTGAGGATTGTATGAGATAATATCTCTGAAAGAGACTAGTGGCTATTTTATAGCAGAAAGCTTTTGCCATTATAATGTCTATTGAATTCCTGTAAAACAAAACATTAACTCCACTAAATGCTACAGGAGTGTAAGCTACTCATGTAAATTCTTATTTGAAAGGAAAGGAAATTTATATCTGGGGGGAATAATGTGCAAGCACATAGATTTAATATGTGTTTATTCCCAATTTGTGTGTATCTAGAAAAATTTTTGACCCCAGAATTACACAAGCCAAAAACCCTTTATTGTTGCAACCTGTGAAATCGATATTAGTTGGGCCTTTGTCTTTGATTTGTAGAGCTGCACAGACACTCATCTGGTCCTAAACTGCTGTGATTTATGCAACATCTTTTTTAAAACTTTTTTTTTTCTTTTATTTTTTTGAGACTGAGTCTCGCTCTGTCGCCCAGGCTGGAGTGCAGTGGTGCAATCTCTGCTCACTGCAAGCTCCGCCTCCCGGGTTCACGCCATTCTCCTGCCTCAGCCTCCCGAGTGACTGGGACTACAGGCGCCCGCCGCCACGTCCGGCTAATTTTTTGTGTTTTTCAGTAGAGACGGGGTTTCACCATGTTAGCCAGGATGGTCTCGATCTCCTGACCTCGTGATCCACCTGCCTCGGACTCCCAAAGTGTTGGGATTACAGGCGTGAGCCACCGTGCCCGGCCTTTTTTTTTGAGACGGAGTCTCCCTCTGTCGCCCAGGCTGGAGTGCAGTGGCTCAATCTCTGCTCACTGCAAGCTAAGCCTCCCGGGTTCACGCCATTCTCCTGCCTCAGCCTCCGGAGTAGTTGGGACTACAGGCGCTGGCCACCACGACCTGCTAATGTTTTTGTATTTTTAGTAGAGACGGTCTTTCACCGTGTTAGCCAGGATGGTCTCGATTTCCTGACCTTGTGATCCACCCACCTCGGCCTCCCAAAGTGCTGGGATTACAGGCGTGAGCCACCGCAGCTGGCCGTCACTATTATTTTCTAAAAAGCATTAATTGTAAAGACAGTTTATTCAATGGCTGTCATAATGTAGTGGTTTTTTTTTCTGCTTCAATCATCTTGAATGATAGGAGCTATTCTATCAATAGCAACACTTAAGTATGGCAATGATTATTAATGAAATGAGGATAGAAAGACCTCTCAGATATATTAGAATTTTGAAGAAATTTTCATTGGAAAAGCTCTCCTATATTCTAATATTCCCCTTTTCCATTTCTTCTGTCCACCTGTTGAATTTTACACCAAGACTGACTATGTAAGGGACCATTAAAGTTTTATGATCTGAAATTTTATTTTGTTCCACTCGATAGGCATGTATGGAACATCTGTGCCTAAACTGAAGCTATTTTATCTCAAAGTCAAGGAAAGTAAGCATAAATAAAAAGTAGAAGAACCTGTGTGTGCTGTTAAATAATATTCTGTGTGTTCAGAGAAAATAATACAAGCACTTATATAATGACCACTGAACAACAGCAAAAGTATCCAAAGGAGCTCAAGAGAATGTTATACAATGTGAGTAAGTAAGAACCGATGGGATGCCTTGTAAAGGAAGGATTATTGCAAGGTAGAATACATGGGATGGCTTCTCTGAATAGGTGACTTACGAGCTGGACCTTGAAGGAAAAGAATATGGTCTAGATTTATCCAATCCCACATGCAAAGAGGTTAAAACCACTTTACTGGGTAGAGTCATTTTGGAGGCTGGTCAAACCAAAGCACAATTGTGAACCAGATCCAGGACATAAAGCTGATAGAAATTGTGAAACCCTTATGGACAGGTCATTATGCCTAAGTGTAGGCAGTCCAAAAGATGGGTCAGGAACAGAAGAAGAGAGAGCTAGAAAGTTAGGGTCTGAACAAAGCCAGAAATGGTTTAAAGGCATTCACAAAGGCTGGAATAACGAGAGGGCCCAGGACTTTTATCTGAACAAGAGAAAGGTCTGTGGGGTGCTGGCCATGAAGTGTTTTTGGTGGAGAGGTCCCTTCCAAAGGAAAATAGGGTGGGCAATATTGAAGGACATGAAAGCAAATGATGTAGATGAAGAACGTTATGTACAGATGCAGCAATTTCTGTCATATATTGGAGACATGGAATAGCGTAAAAATGTGTAATGGGAATAATGAGAAATAAGTTAGGGGCCAGTTGAATTTGATACTTGAATTCTGTACTTGGCTTTGATTTTATAGGTGAAAAGGAGCTACTGTAGATTCTCAATCTTCTCTAAGAAGATAACATTGCCCAAGTTAGTAAGCTCAAGAAGGAACGAGTGTAGGAGAGATGTGCAAGGGCATAGACTTAGATTCAATACTGACCTCTAGGAATATGTTGTTTGGTTAGCTGCCTGTCACTGTATGTGACCTAGATGATTGCCTCTTTTTTACCACTTGCTTGTAACTAATTTATTTTTGTAAGAATGATGGATAAAACTAAAGGAACAATTACAAAAAAAAAAAACCCTTATGTATAAGCACATAGTATTTTGCATTTTTAAGAATGTGGAAAATTATGATCTCTTGACTTATGGTTTTACATTTTACATTGGTCAAATTAAACATAAAAATTAAATGTGATACATTTGTTGGAAAGTTTCAAATATTTATTTTTCCTTAAGACAACAGAGCAGTATAGCTTAGTATTTGAGACTGCATCTGCGGATAGTTTCTGGGTCTAATTCCTGGCTTTATCACTTAATAACTACCTTAAACAGAATTACTTTTTCCATACTTTAGTTTGCTCGTCTGAGAAGTAGGAATAATTATACCTATCTTACAGGGCTTTGGTGAGAATTAAATGAGATAATAATACATTTTAAAAACTTAGAATGGAGAGTAGCATAAAGAGTGTAAGCTCAACAAATATTCATCTGTTAACATCATATGGGCAAGATTTTTTTTTTAAATACTTATTTGTGTGAGGAGAGGTTGTAAGGTCTCCAAGGGGAAGATTGCATGAAGTACATGAGAAGTCTGACCCTAAATGTAGGGGCTCCCAGAGTCACTAAATATTCTGAACATGGCTCAGAGATGGTAGAATCACCAAACCTAAAGGGATCCTATGTGGTAAAACATAAGTTATCTTAGTAAGCAGAACCCCAGTTATTTCATGACCATAGGGCATTTTTGTTGTTGTTGTTGTGGTTGTTTTTTTGAGATTGGGTGTCACTCTATCTCCCAGGCTGGCATGTAGTAGTGCAATTTTGGGTCACTGCAGCCTCGACCTCCCCAGGCTCAGGTGATCTTCCCACCTCGGCCTCACATGTAGCTGGGACTAATTTTTCTATTTTTTGTAGAGATCATGTCTCACCGTGTTGCCCAGGCTGGTCTCAAACTCCTGGGCTCAAGTGATCTGCCTGCCTTAGCCTCCCAAAGTGCTAAGATTATAGGCATGAGCCACCACACCGGGCCTTATGGGGCATGTTCTTAATACCTAGTTGTGAAGGAGTCCAACTCACCTATTCATACTCAGTGCTTAGCATAGTGTCAACCACAATAAGTACATAATAACATTTCAGCAAATGTCTGTTAAGTGAATGAGTAAATGATTCAGTGACGAAAATAATTCCAGTATATATATAATTAGATGTACCACTCATAGAAACAACAATTTATTTCATCCAAAGATACCTTTTACAGTCTTTGGCATTGAAGACAACTCTGTGGCACACTGGGGGGGACCCCACAAAGAGACTGACTATGAATTACTCATCAGTTAAATGGGATTGGATGAGATCAGCATTGGGCTGATTTTAGAAAATAGATTCAGAACCGCTATATTCAGTGATTAAGAAGAAGTAATGCATTCCCCTTTTTAGTCCTCTCAGTACTTTGCTTTAAAATGCACACAGGTGCACACACAGACAGACAGACATGCACAGGCACAAATATGAAAATACATCACAGTTAAAATATCAATTTATTAATTTTTGGTTAAGTGCTACATAGCAATCCACCTGAAAATTTAGTAGCTTAAAACCATGACAATCATTTATTTAACATATGACTCTTCAATTTGGTTGAAAAGACTATCTGTGCTCCATGTAGCATCAGCTAAGGTGGCTAGAATTTTGACTGCAGGTTTCACTTTCGAGATGGCACAGTCACATAATTGGCAAGTTAGTGCTTGCTGTTGGCTGGGAGCAAAGCTGGGCTGTAGGCCAGGGGCCTCAGTTCGTGTCTACATGGGCCTCCACAGACTGCTTGGCTTCCTCTCACAGCATGGTGGCAGTGTTCCAAGGACGAGCTTCCCAAGAGAAACAGGTGTAAGCTAGACTTTATGATCTAGTCTTCGAAAGCACCTAGACTCAATTCTGCTATAGTCACAGGCCACCCACCTTCAAGGGGAACCTCTCCCCTCTCACTCCAGCCTTTATCTCTATGGGATGACTGTCTGTGTCACTGTATTAGTCCATTTTCACACTGCTGATAAAGACATACCCGAGACTGGGAAGAAAAAGAAGTTTAATTGGACTTAACAGTTCCACATAGCTGGGGAGGCCTCAGAATTATGGCAGCAGGTGAAAGGCACTTCTAACATGGTGGCAGCAAGAGAAAAAATGAGAGGGATGCAAAAGCGGAAACCCCTGATAAAACCATCAGATCTCATGAAACTTATTTACTACCAGGAGAACAGTATGGGGGAAACTGCCCCCATGATTCAAATTATCCCCCAACAGGCCCCTCCCACAACATGTGGGAATTATGGAAGTACAGTTCAAGATGAGATTTGGGTAGGGACACAGAGCCAAACCATATCCGTCACATTGTTAGAAGAGCACGTGGGATGGGAGATCTTGTGGCTGTCTTGGATAATACAATCTGCCACAGTAAGCTCTACATTTTTGGACACTATTTAAAGGAATTTTTAATTCAGTCACCTCTGAGTTCCCAAAAGTGACCAGACTATTGTGGTATGTAGGAAATCTTTTCAGAAAGAAGCACATTCTAAGGGAGGAAATATGTCTGTGGAGATTCCAACTAGATATAAAAGGTGCCACGAATAGAACAAAGGGATGGGACATTCGCCGACAGATAATTTAACCCGAAGAGCTGAGGGTAAACAATTTAAAAACTGAAGTTAGGAAGCTCCCTCGCCCTCCTGATGTCAGTGTAAGGGAATATTATAAACAGCCAAGGACCTTCAGCCATGGCTCTTTTGAGACATCATAGAGTGCACATTGCTAAATCTAGCTTTTCCCTTTCTGTGACTAAACAACATTTTCCATGATGACTGGAGGCTCATTAAAATCTTATGACAGGAATCTGACCCACCAAATTGAAAGTAGACAGGAAAATCGTAGGTAAATGTATTTCTAAAGTATGTATCAACATTCTTGGTTAGTAAATATTTATTTAGCTCTTGCAGGTGAAATATAAATAATGACTGTAGTATTCCTTCAAGGCCTATTAGAGCTCAGCCAAAAACAGTGATCAGCAAATCAAATGCCAGAAGTTTTGACCCTTCTGCCAGAGGAGAGCCATTTAAATGGGCTTTTAAAGGATCTATTTTAGGACTTTGTGTGGAAACCCAGCAAAATCAGTTTGCTAAAATCTATACCAGCTGGCCCAGGTGGCTTTTCCTAGTCTCTGCCTGCATCTGTTTTATTCACAAGTGCACTGCTATTGACTTGTATAATGAGGCAATAGCACACAAGTGATAGCTTCCCCAAAAGCCATATTCTTTTTCTGTCTAGGATTTGGAGCAGGAAAGAGACCATAAACAATACATTTTCTTCCTCGAAATATATTTGTCACTTTCAGCTTGCTTTCTTCCATGCCAAGAAGACTATCAAAGGCAAGTTATAATTGAACATGACAATGTTTTTCTCTTTCTTATGGAATGTTAACCTGGCAGACAGAATCTGCCCTGGCAGAAGAAAAAATTAATCATGTTTGATCTCTCACTTTACTGACCTCCGAGAAGTATTCTTGTCATTTGTTTTCCACCGTTGTATTAACTGATCTAATATGCTTCAGTAATTTTCTTTTGTTTAATCATTTAGATTCCTGATGAAGAACCAGGGTAGTTAAATGATGATGCATTTGCGAAAGTCATGTGTACTCTGTATCTGACCACTGTTGTCAGGATGGGAAATCTCTGGTAGTTCAAGGGAAAATGCTAGACCTGAAGAATTAGGAACACACATGAAAGAAGGATTTTTATCTCTTTATCTGGGCACTTCTTAGAATGGAGCTGTGGGTGCATTTACCTAGGAGAGCTGAGGCAGAAACAGGATCACATGACTGTCAAGTCATTTAAGCTTTCTTACCATTTACTGATTTGTATCTGATAATTTATTGAGTCTAGACAACTTCATGTACAGGATTAAAGGCATTGCCTTGATCACAGAACCTAAATTTCAACACCTTCTGAGGCTACTGGGGCATAGAAATTGTGCGACTGCGTTTGCTGCCAAGGTTACTCTCCCTGACACTAGGCAGAAATTGAAAACAAACTTGGAGTTTTTATTTCATCTCCTTCAGTGATGACAGTCCATAAGGTTGAAAACTGTACACTTTTGTGAGTTACACAAGTTCTTTAACCTATGACCTGTAACTGATTGCATGCACTTAACATTGTGTTTGGAAGCATGTTCCAAAAGGAGTTATTTTGAAGCTCGGTGTTCTCTCTTCTTCAAGTTTAATTCTTTTTCTATTCCAAGTTCCATTTGTGTGTTCAAATGACTACCTTTGCTTTCAGAAAAGTCATTCTAAGATGTCTTGAAACACTAATATGACATAGACCACATAAACAGTTTAGTTTTGCAGTGTATATGTTTCTCTTCTTTCAGAAGAAATGTTAAATGAACCTGTTACATTTTGCTTTAAGGACTTAGACTTAGAAAACTCTTCAAACAGCATGACTTCTTTAGACAGGTAGTAATTTATTGTTAGGCATTCTGAAATGGTTTGCCTGGCAGAAATAAACATACAATAAAATTATCCAAAAAGCATTCAGGAGAGTGTTTTGATTCAACGATTGACAGGAAAATTTAGAATTTGAATATTTTGTGAATTGTAGTGGCATCTTAAGCATTTGAAGGGATATGATGACAAATCAAATGGAAAGGAATTTTGATATTAGTATGGAAAATGTGCAGTTATGTAGAAGATACTGAAGGTATTGAAAAAAGACTTCAACAAGGAACTGAAAATAATATTTAAAATCCATGAATGTCAAGGACACTTGGTGATTGACAAGTATTAATAGAACTATTAAAGATGTTTTGTAGCAATTGCACATGACATATTTCAGCATTTCTCCAATGATTTTAATACAATTTTTTTTGTCCATTTGCTGATTGAGGTTTAGCAGATGATATGTAAAAAGCCAAAAGGCTACATGATAGGAAAAGCTTTTTAATTGTCTAGCTGCCAATATTTTAAAATATATATACATATGTATATACATACATACATGTTTTATATATATATAATATAAAACATTTTAAAACTTTGTACACACAGAGAGAGAGAGAGAGAGAGAGAGAGAGAGACCCACATTCCAGAAAATAAATCAGCAAGATAGGTTGTGATTTTATAACTGGTAGGAAAGACAAAGGCATATCTGATTGGAATATCACACACTAAAAAAAAAAAAAGAGTTGTACATTTATCTATATCAGACAGAACTAGACTCTTTGAATCATAATTTTAAATGCTTTTTTTTTCTAGGAAGGAATGTGAGAAAACACTTTTATTTTAGGGGACCAACACTATACTTTTCTACAAAGGAATATTTAAGTAGTAGAAAATCAACACGATGTTAATATGAATAAGAGTCCAGTGTTGGAGTAGAGATGTTATAAAGATTAATTAATTGAAATTTCTTTAACATTTATCTATTCCAGGATTTCTCAGCCCTGAAAGTCAAGTATACAGTCAATGTTTCTCAAACTTTGTGAGCATTGGAATCACTGGGGAAGCTTCTTAAAAATATTTTTGCTTGAGTTCCACCCACAAAGAATTTTATTCAGTATATCTCGGCTAGGCTTCAAGAACCAGTATTTTTAACAATATTCTTTGCCCTACTCCCTAAATGTGTTATGATGTACAACAAAGTCTGAGAACTATTGGAACAGACAACATACACACACTATGATAGGATACTGTGGGACTTGCATGATAGGACATTAATTTCTTTAAAATGTCAGCACTTATCTGAAGTCTATGGTCCACATGAAGTACTTTTTTCTAGATTTTGCTTCCAGATTATTTTGCTTTTTACTTTGTCCATAATTCCTCTAAGAGATATTCAAAATGTATTTAGCTCTCACATGTTTAATTTATGAAAGGACCAAATTATTAGGATTGGGTTACTTCTATTAATGGCTTCATTTTAACCTCTTACACCTTTCTTTTGGCTTTGGTGGCAGGTGAAAAAAATCACAGCTGTCTGTAATACACAAAATTTGTACATGGACAGATATTTAAGCCAAGAGAAACAGTATTGAAAGATGCAAGGTGTTCGCATGTTCTCACTCATAAGTGGGAGCTAAACAATGAGAACATATGGGCACAGGGAGGGGAACATCACACACAGGGGCCTGTCAGGGGGTGAGGGGCAAGGGGAGGGATAGCATTAGGAGAAATACCTAATGTAGATGGTGGGTGGATGGGCGCAGCTAACCACCATGGCACATGTATACCTGTGTCACAAACCTGCATGTTCTGCACATGTATCCCAGAACTTAAAGAATAATTTTTTTAAAAGAGAAAGATGCAAGATGTTATATTTAAAGTGCCATAACTTCTCCACCACTGCATTAAACATACACATTAATATTCCCTTCCAACTGGCTATTTGCCCTCAAATCACTATCCTATTAATTGGCAAGAACTGAAGACAAAGGATTTTTAATAGGCTTGTAGCAAACCTGATAACGGTGCAAAATAGCTAGGCCAATCCTTTGGGTGGAGACTAACAGTTTGTGAAGAGAGTGCTAGCTTCGGTTGGATAGCCCTGATTGTTTGAAGCATGAAAAAAAGATGGTATAATTGATGTGATCAGGCCACATTTTAAGGTATACATGATGGGAAGACAAAGAGATGGGGTTGCTGACCGTAAGCCTAGGGCCAAGTGACATATGAACAAGTTATTGGGAAGGCTATGTAAGATCTGTTTTGAGAGGTGACCTAGTGTGTTCAATATAGCCACAGACTCCAGAGCTAAGTACAGGAGTTTCAATCACAGATCTGTCACTAGCTATCTGACCATTGACAAGTCACTTATTCTCTCTGGTCATCATTTTCCTTTTTTGTCAATTATAGATAATAATAATACTTACCTGTATTAGTCAGTTTTCATGCTGCTGATAAAGACATACCTGAGACTGGGCAATTTACAAAAGAAGAGGTTTAATGGACTCACAGTTCCACGTGGCTGGGGAGGCCTCACAATCATGGCAGAAGGTGATAAGTAGGTCTCACATGGTGGCAGACAAGAGAAGAGAGCTTGCTCAGGAAAACTCCCCTTTATAAAACCATCAGATCTCATGAGACTTATTCAGTGTTATGAGAACAGCACAGGGAAGACCTGCTCCCATGATTCAATTACTTCCCACTGGGTCCCTCCCACAACACATGGGAATTGTGGGAGCTACAATTCAAGATGAGATTTGGATGGGGGCACAGCCAAACCATATCACTTTTTAAGTCACTCCTAATTCCTTAGGGAACGGTAGGTTAGAGTGAAGAGAGAAGTGTTACGAGGAAGGATATCTAAAGACTGGCAAAAAGTTCCCCTCCCTGTTCTCTAACACTTTATTTTTAGTGTTTTAGTTTGCCAAACATATTCTATCATTTATTCTTCTTGGTACACATACTCCTATTTTATAGTTTTCCTTTCTTTTCTCTTTGTTATCCACAGTTTAGGAATTTTATAAAAAGGGACTTTTGATTCTAGACACAATGGAGTAAAGCCTCAGGAAAAAAAATACATTAAGCAACTAACATAAGAATTAAAGGTAGATAAAAGCAAGTGGACTAGGTACAGAACTTAGAACTGGAGGAATGATCTTGCAGTGAGTTTCCTGTTTATTTTTTATTCATTTTATTTTTTAACACCCTTCCTTCCCCACCAGCATGCTGCGGCAAATCCTGAGGAGAGGAGCCCCGTGAACTCTCCTTGCCTTACACCAAGAAAGTGGCAACAAAGAGGTAGGACCTCCTCACTTCCCACTATCATCGCAGCAGCAAACACTGTAGGGTTGGGTCCTGTAAAATTGCCCAGCCTTATAGCCCTTCAGAATGCCAGTAAAAAGATGGACCCGCTCCACCTCCTCATTGGTGTGGAAGAGGCCTTATAAAGGGCAGAACACTGGCATCAGTGTGGGGAGGCTAACTTTCCGTATTTCTAGTAAGAACACCTGGAAAGGGAAACCCTGGTAACCAAAGTCAGGGAAATGATAATAGAAAACAAGTAGCCAAAGAAAGTGACCATTTAAATCTGCATTTAAAGTCTTCGACAACCCCCAAGTTGTTCAGGCATGAAACTAAATGGAATCAGCTCAACAAAAACTTTGAAAACTGAACTTCAGTGAAGACCAATGTCCAGGTTTCAGTTTGAACTCTGAGTGGCTCACACACTGGGCAAACCAGTTATAATTGCAGATTCTTTGAAAATTAAATTGATATGGGAAAGATAAACCACAGAATATGGGCCAGGATATGTATTTACTGCCTGTTAAACAAAACGAAAAATTAATGTTCCACAGAAGATTTAAATAGGATCTAGTGCCTCAGGATATAATATTTGAAATGTCCCAGATACAGCCCCAACTATTCCATATACAAAGAATTAGAAAAATATGAACAACTAACAGGCAAAAGAAAGTTAACAGACACCAACTACAAGAGGACTCAAAGGTTGGAATTATCAGGAAATAAACCTCTGAAGTAGTTATTTAACTGTGCTCCAACAAGTAAGGGCAAACATTCTTAAAAACAATGGAAAGATAGAATTTTCAGCAAAGAAATAGAAGCTATACCAAAAAAAAAAAAAAAAGACTCAAACAAAATTTTAGAACAGAAAACTAGAATAATAAAAATTTAAAACATCACTAGAAGGGCTCAATAGCAGAAAATAGATGTGAGAGGAAGCAATTAGTGAACTTGAAGGTATAGCAATAGAAAGTATTCAGTCTACACAATGAGAGGAACTGAAGAAGGAAGGGAGGGAGCCAGAGGGTTGGGGAGAGAGAGAGAAACAGAGCCTTAGGTATCTGTGGGACAATATCAACAGGTCTAAAATTCAGGACATAAAAGGAGAAGAGAAAGTTGAATAAAACACAAACAAAAAACTCAAAGTGTATATGGAAGACTTAAATGACACTACCAGCCAGCTTTACCTAATTAACATTTATGGGACACTCCACCTCACAATAGCAGAATATATTGTTTTCAAACACAGATGGAACATTCACCACTAAGATGGTCCATATTATGAGTTACAAAGCAAACCTCATTAAATTTAAAATAATTAAAATTATTGAAAGTATGCTTTCTGCTTATAACAAATTAAACTAGAAAACAGTAACAGAATTATATCTGGAAAACCCCCACATATTAAAAAATTAAATAAAACATTACTACTTATCAATGGGTCAAAGTGGAAATCTCAAGGGAAAGTAGAAATAATTTTGAACAGAATAAAACTGAAAATATAACCAATCAAAATTTATGTGAGTCAGGTAAAGCAGTGCATAGAGTGAAACTTATAGCATTAAAAATTTATATGAGAAAAGAAGAAATGTCTCAAATCAACAATTTAAGCTTCTGCCTAGCACAATGCAGAAAAAGATAAAATAAAAAAGCAGAAATCAATAAAATTGAAAACATAAAATCAATATAACCAAAAGCTGGTTCTTTTTTAGAAAATTAATAAAATTGACAAACCTTTGGTGAGATTGACCAAGAAAATATGAGAAAACACGAATGATCAACATCAAGAATGAAAGAGGGAATATTATCATGAATCCAAATAGGTTAGAAAATGATAGAGGAAATTATGATCAACTTTATGCACATAAATCTACAGCTTAGATAAAATAGACCAATTTCTTTGGAGATGCAGATATCAAAGCTGAATTAAAAAGATAGATAATATGTCTTCCTATAGCTATTGTAAAACATATTTCATAGGTAAAAGCCTTCAAAAAATTATTTCCAAGCTAAATGGTTTCACTGGTGAACTCTACTAAATATTTAAGGAAGAAATAACATCAATTCTTCACAATCTCTCTTAGAGTTAGAAAAGGAGAAAACATTTTTTACCTCACTTTGTGGCACCAATATTATTCTAATATCAAAGATAGCACAGGAAACAAAAGCTACAGATCAATATTCCTCTTGAACACTAATAGAAAAATATTCAACAAAGTATTAGTGAGTCAAATCCAGCAATATATAAAAAGAATAATAATTATGACCATGTGAACTTTATCCTGGGAAAATCTTAAGATATTAGAAACACCAGATTATTTAATACTCTAAAATTAATCAATGCTTGTAATCACATTAACAACAAAATGAATACATGATCATATCAATAGTTGCAGATAAAGCATTTGACAAAATTAAACATCCAATTGGTGACAAAACTCTCAGCCCACTTGGAATAGAAGGCAACATCTGCAATCTGTTAATGGACATCTGTGAGAATCCTACAGCTAACATTGTACTTAATGGTCAAAGACTGTTTTCTCCCTAAAATCAGAAACTAGGTAATGATGTCTGCTCTTACCAGTCCTGTTCAATATTTTCTTAGAAATCTAGCAAATGCAGTTATGTCTAGAAAGTGAAATAAAAGACATTTTCCTTTTGATTATTTTCTTTCTAAATGATTAGAAAGAAAAATATATAACTATTCTATCTTGCAATGACATGATTGTCTGTATAGAAAAATCTCAAGAAATCTATTAAAAAACTACAAGAATTAATAATAGGGTTTAGCAAGGTTGCTGTATACAAAAGCAATAGACAAAATTCTATTTTATTTTTATACACTAGCAATGAACAGTTGGAAATTGAGATTTTTTTTTAAAAAGCAGTAATATTTATGACAGTTTGCAAATGTAATAATGTAATGTAATGAGATAAATATAACAAAAGATGTACAGAATCTGTACGCTGAACATTAGAATACTTATGATATTAATAGCCAAACAATTTGTATCAGAATAGGTAAAGAACTCTCAGAAATCAAAAATTAGAAAATAAACAACTCAATTTGAAAAAAATGGGGAATAGATTTAAACAGTCACTTCACTAAAAATGATACACAAATGAGAAATAAGCAGGTGAAAAGATATTTTTCATAATTAGTCATTAGGGAACTGAAAATTAAAACCACCAGGAGATAGCATTTCACAGCTATTTACTTGGCTAAGTTTAAAAATACCCATAATACCCAGTGTTGATGAGGATGCAGAGCAAAGGGAACTCTCATACATTGCTGATAGGAATGCAAAATGGTACTGCCATTCTGGAAAATATTTTGGCATTTTTTTAAATAGCTGAATATATACTTATGCTTAGCTTTTTGAAAAAGTGCCAAAATATGACAAAAATTACTCATATAACTCAGTAACCTCACTTTTAGGTACGCATATCAGAGAAATGAAAGTTCATGTTCACACAAAAACCTACACATAAATGTTTATAGCAGCATTATTAATGATCTAAAACCAGAAGTATCACAGATGTCCTTCAGTGGGTGAATGGATAAACAAAGTGTGGTGCATCTACATAATAAAATAGTAGTACCAGTGACAAGGATGAACTAGTACCAGTGACAAGGATGAACTATTGATACACTCCAGAACTTGGGTGAATCTTCAAAGAATTATGCTAAGGTCAAGAACTGAAACTTACAAGATTATATACTGTATGATTTTATTCATATAAAACTCTGGAAATGTTCCCCCTCTACCTTCCAGAAAAAAAGGAATAGAGAACAGAACTATGTTTACCAGGGTTTAGGATTGAGGAGGTTGTGAAAAAAAAAGTGGCAGTAGAAGAGATCTTTCTTGAATGCTGAAACTGTTTTGCATCCTCTCTATGGTGATGGTTAAAGAATCAATATATGTAAAAAACTCACAGAACTGTACATCAAAAATGTGAATTTTACTGTTTGTAAATAGAGTTTCATCTGAGTCATCATCACTGTCCCATGCAGAATTTAAAATAACTCTATGTACTTTCAACTCTATAATATAATCTGTAGTTATATGCTAAATGAAGTGTTTCAATATTTTACTCTTTTATTAATATGTTTTACTATTTAGCTGAGAATTTAATAGATGGCCCAAAGGATAATATGACAACTAATAGCTTCAAATTCTGGTGTTTTCAAGGATTTTAAGCCCCCAGTATCCCTTCTTCATGTACTAAATTATCCAGTATGCATTTTAATTAAAATGATAATTTATATAACGTTATCAATAATTTATCTTCAGTAATGCTTTCTTTAAATTAGAATAATATGAAAATTCTTTCATATTCTTCTTAGTATCTATTTCTCCACCTTTCTAAATTTGTTCTGACATATAAACTTTTATTACTACCAGAGAAGACTTAGATGAGAACTTTACTTAAATTGAGTGGATGTGCTAATATTTCTTTGAAATAAAAAAGGTGTACTGGAATGTTCCACCCATAAAAGCAATACTTTTTCAAAACTAGAAATCAGTAGAGTTATATTTTCACAAACTTCTAATGAGAGGTTCAAGACCAGTTAGATGTCATAAACTGAAGAACCTGAAATTTTGCAAGCTAACAAGATAGGCTGCCATAGTTTAGATGCCTTTTGCCAGTCTCCAATCAGCAAAGTCATCAGTCACAGAGAATTGTAGCTCAAGGAACGCATAGTTTTGGGGCTCTGAAAGTAGATAGTGTGTTTCAACTTGATGTACAGGCTTCAATTCAACCTATTGGTTGGTCCCCATTCAAAGGGTAATTATTTGCAGATTAGCAGATAAAAATGATAACACGAGGCACATGTTGTCTTCAATATCCAGGAGTATAGTAAAGTGCTGTCTTGTTTTTGGTGGGAGAAGGGGAGAGGTAAAGAGACAATAGTTTTTCCTTTACTGCTGGAGACATCAAGTGCTGTAAACCTGCCCACATGGTTCCAAGAGTTTCCTTGGTGAAGTTGCCTCCTCTGAATTTCGTTGGAGTTTATCTACAACCCCTACTGATAGAGCTTTGCTAACATGACAGTCAGGGCTATACAGACTGAGGGTTCTGATTTGCCAACCCACAGGACATCAACTACAGGGTGAAGGCTTTAGACAACATGGGGTAGAGGCTCTTGGGCTAAACCCTAACCCCTCATTGGTGGCAAATAACAGTGGCGTTTAAGTGCCTTAGCAAAACACTGGAAGCCTGGCCGCAAACATGCAAATTGGTCTTGGTAATCAGGTGCCAGTGGCTAAGAAATAAGGCATTGTCAATGCCCAAGGCAGCATACCAAGTGCTGTCAGTCTGTGCGATGGATTAGGTTCAGTCACAATGTCTGAAACAGTTGGAGCTATGGGAGTAAATACTGATTTAATTGGTGATAATGCCACTCTAACATTCAGCTGGCACTTTCACTTGCCATATAGGCAGTTGCATTTTTTTACCACCCTTGCTGCTTTTAAGTCTTTAATCACAGAGTGGCAATTTCTCTTTTTTTCTCCTGGGATTCTATACTGTTTCTGTTGGAATAGCTTGGAGGGAACCGGGAGCTGGATTGGAAAGCCACTTAGATATTTCCCTAGCATGTCCCTAGGAAGACACAGTCCAGATAAGTATTCAGAGTCCAAGCATGTGAAACATCAATGCCAATTATACATTCAGCAGTGAAAACTACAACATTGAATTGACAACACAGTATGCCCCTTGAGGACAGGGAGATCTTGGCCCTACCCCTAGTTGGCTTTCTCTTTAATGTGGTTAAGTTTGGATTAGAGGAGAGAGGACAGGGGTCACACAGGGAGACAATGACTTGGCTCCAGTAAGCAAGTCATGTTTACTTTCCATTTCGTGTGGTGCAGCAGCTTTGTGTGGCTAAACCAAATGAACCCCCAATGTCTTTGATCCAATCAAAACCCAGTATGAAGCAGCAAGGTCATCATAACCAACACCCTCAATTTCTACTTTGGAGACCCTTGAGCTGCATTGGTTTCTATTTGGGGTTTCCAGGTTTATATCCTTTGTCTGACTTGGTCTTGATTCTCATCAAGACAATTTTTATAAAGGAGTCCACCTTACTCTGGGGTATCTGCTGCCACCTCACCAAGGTAGCTTCTCTTAAATTCTTACTTTGTTTCAACACAAGAAATAGGGGAGATTTTCAAAGCAGCAGGGCTGACAGCAAGAATTTCTCCAGATTTTCTTAAAACAGTTTCTCATTCTCTAGTGAGTTACTTTCATCAACATTGCAAACCCAATCCAGGACACTAAGAGTCTGAATAGTAGTCAATGCCTCCTCCATGACTTCTCACACGTTTGCCTGTCTCAGAGAAATCTTCCCAAACAGGGCAACAGTCTCCTAAAGAAGCCAGGATCAAGTGAAGACATCTCTGGGACATTTTACTGTTGCCTTTGAATGGATCTAAGATTGTCATGATAGACTGTGGGAGGGGCTGGGTCATACACAGCGGAGCTGTTGCCATCTTTTCTTAACAAGCATTGTGCATACCCACCCTCCTCAATCCTCATCTCCCAATTGAATCAATCAGAGTTTCAATGATTTGCCTGCTTTTCTCTCCATAATGCTCACAAATTTCTCTCCTTGCACGCTTAGTGTGTGTGCCTCTCAGTAACTTGCCTAACAGGAAACAAAATATTATGCTCATTCAGGATGAATCTTATATTATAATAAGGTGGACTTAAAGCTCACTGTTAGATTGACTAGGAAGTCTCCTTGCTCTCCCATAGGCATCTGTCTTTGAACTAACTTCATGCTGTCCAATCTGCAGTCATTTCCCTAATTTCTCCTCATTAACAGGCAATAAAGTGGAGGACCATTTTGTGCACAGTTAACTGTACAATTTGATTAAATATTCGATATTGATCAGTTTGGTGGGGGCAAGGGAAACACAAAGAGACAGCAGTTTTTCCTTTCCTTTTCCATCTCTGCTATCTTTCCCTCTGGCTTAATATGGAGATAATTGATTCTGTTTTCCTGTTAAATCACACAGACTTCTGTTTAAAAGGAATCTGGGGAAAGAAAGAAATCATAAATTTCAATTTCCAGAGGGAAGAATTCACTTTTACCTAAAATAATTTAATCAAAAGAAGATTGAGACATTAAACTCATGTATTTTTGAAAAAAAAATATGAGGGGGTTGTTGGATATTGAAGTCTGAGAAGAGCTTAATAGTTTCTAATTGTTCCTGAAATGTCTGGATGAATTCTGATTAAATTTGCCACAGGCATAGGCATCAATGGAAGAAAGCAAGATATAAGACACTGGACAACTTACAAAGAAAGGTCAGTTTTTCATTTCTCTGCATTTTCTCAGTACGTGCATTTGAAATACTTGTCGAGTTAGTTTTGGCATACTAATGTGGAATAGAACCTCCGGGTTGAAAGCCCAGGCTTGGAAATTTGATAGACCTAGCCATAAGTTCCAGCCACATCACTTGCTCTTATGGTTTTATACAAATTTCTCAATCTTTTTACACCAAAATTTCTTTATCTCTAGCTCTGCGGCTATATGCAATTTATATGATTGTTGTGAGGATTACAGGATGAGATAATATATGTGTGTAATTAGTACAGTGTTTAGCACATGGAATTTAAATTAGTGATACCCACTATTATTATTAAAAGATGAAGATCATAACAAAATTTTTCTTTGGTCTTACAAGGGTAGATAGATGTAGGACAGGATTAACTAGTTTGAAGAATGGTAGCTTCCTACATAGCATAAATTCAGAAGTCAAGAATTCTCTTCCAAATAACTGTTTATAAGACTGATTTCTGGAATTCCATTATTAGAATTTTATTACGCTAAGATTAAGGTATCAAAAATGCTTTTTAAATATAAAATCATTGGTAGGTGGTAGCATATTACCTTTTTTGGTCCGTTTAATCGCAGGAAACCGGATTTGATTCTACCCTTTCCTGAGAGTAAACAGTCAGGAAAGAGGAGAGGCAATAAGCACTAGGAAGTTATACATAAGGAAGAGTTGCTTCAAGGAGGAGAAAGCAGGGAGTGAGGAAGTGAAGTTTATTTAAAGCTAAATTTCACCACCTTCATAATTTAGCCAAAGTTCAACTCTATTTCAGAAGAATTAATATTATAAAGAAATATGCTAGTTAGTCAAAGGATTGAAGAGTTAATACAATTTCATCATTTTTCAATTAGTGTTTAAGTCTTTTAATTCCACATAAGTAACTATAAATTTTGAATGAAATTTTGGATTTTCACATTGCTGAAGTAATACAAGTTAATTACATCCTTGTTAATGATCTATTGCTATGATTTTCCTTCATGCATGCAAATCAGGCATGGAGTTTTATTATCTTTCATGGCCTGTTGTGTTGACCCATCACACTCAGGAAACTTTCTAATTTTTCTTTCCTGCGTTAGATTTTCTCTGTCTGCCTTGGTTTAAATGTAGTCTATTTACTAATGCATGAGATTCTTGGTATTACAAAACCAACAAGTTATCATATATTTTCATGATAATAGCTATTTGTTTTGATCTTCAAAGAGTCTTAGGAACTATGTATACAATTCCTCAGTTACTGCGGAAAACATCTCACTGTACCCATGAAAGGTGTCTACTCTTCCTCAGCTTGAATGCATTCAAAAATATAAGGAAAGTACTCTGGCAAGGCAACTTCTTCTGTTGTTGGGCAGTTCTGAAGAAAAGCTCTTTCTTACATTGAGCCTGAATCTGCTTCTTGATTACAATTCTGATTTTTGGCACAGGAGGGAAGAAAGTTTTTCACTTTGCCACATGATTGCCATTTGAGTAAGTTGCCCTCTTTTGGTCTCCAATGCACACAAATACACACACACACACACACACAAACACACACAGAGGTCCTCAATCAGACTTATCTTCATGCTGAATATCTTCATGTACTCATATTATATGATTTCCAGGATTCCAGGCATTTCACTGCTTGATTTTTCTTCTCTGAAAGGCAAGGTATCTAGGGTGACCATATGTCCTGGTTTTCCAGGGACGATCTCCTTGTTCAGATGTAAATAGTAATAATGTTCTCTTTCACCTTTAATAATGTTCTTGTTTTAACAATAAATTGTAATGTGCCTGTTGTGCAAATAAGGATGAATTGCAAAATAGCACTCACACAAGGCCTACCGGTGTAGTGTTCTGGAACATGCAGTGGTACTGGATCAGTAACAGATTTGCGGGCATGTCTTCCACACCTTCCACAATCGTTCTTTTTAGCACAGTGCACAATGATCTATTAGATTTGTTCATCAGACTCCAAAAGAGAGATTCTTGTCTCTTAGGTTATGGACTTTTAAACTGAAAAATTTAAAAGGGGACAAGCACTTCTTTAGTGTGATTGAATCTGGGGTACAAAACTATATGACCTGGCAGGACATTGGCTACAGCCTTACTGTCACCTGCATGTGTTTCAGGTTGGGCCTCTTGCCTGGCTTTTTCAACGACCTGGGGGCCACGCATTGCAGCTGACTGTGATTGATTGCCTTAATCACTGGGCTGTAGGCAATTCCCATGGAGTTTTGCAAAAGATCACCTCTTTTTATGTGAGACTAGCTTTCAGAGGATCAGTCAAGACAATCTTTCCTCTAAATTCTCCCTCTTCTCCCCAAACTAAGAAGCAGCGTCTAGGCATTATGAGCTATCATTTTAATCGATAAGAGTTGTGTGACTAGCCACAGTGTCACTGTGGTTGACACTGGAGGACAGTTAGAAATGGCTGAGTAAGTACTTCCAGAGGAATTCACGTTTACTTAAGGCAGAATAGGAAGGGCCATTAATTTGAATAGCCCTGGAGATATCTAGTTGCAAAAGTATAACAGGATCATTATTTGTACCTCAACATGGAGAATGAGAAAAGACCATCACAGGCATCATTGCTTCCTGGTTTCTTCCAATGACCTGGGACTCTCTGTTATTACAGTGCTATTGTATCCTGGCCCTGATTATATCAGGGATGGGCTTACATGTCCATAATCGTGCATTTAAATTCCGCAGTCAAGGGTTCCATAAACAATCCCAGAAAAAAAAAATGGGCAAGAGGAGACCTGAATACCTACTGTTCATGATGTCTTCATGGAATTTTCTCCAAGGGATGCCGTCCCAGCAATCTTGTGCCAATATTGCCTTGGCCACTTTCCCTTGTGTTGCAGACAGTTACTCTAAATTATACCTCATTTCAAAGATATAAAGAAGAAAAGCAAGTTAGATGGAGGAGACCATTTCTTGTTAGTTATTACCCTTTAAAGTACTTCTTTTATACCATATCTTCTTACGTATGCAACTATTGCTTAACTACTATGTGGAATAGTGGGGATTTCCCTCGACTTTAGCTTGCTCTGGGCTCTCACTGCCTTGCTGTGATATTTTGGATAAATCACTTAAGCTTTCTAGTTCTAATATTCTTTAAGTATAAAATAAGGAAGTATGGTGCAGGTCCACGACTGTCATTCTTTGAGGTTGAAAGCATGTCTTATTTGTATTTCCCTACTCATCCTCTACATAACACAATATATAGGTATGCTCTGTAAATATTTGCTAGATGAATAAAAAAATAAATGGACACCCCTCACATTTCTTCCTGTTGGTGTTTATATGCTGTTTTAACCTGTTGAAATCATTCTAAATCTGATTCTCCATTTCATCATAAAAACTAGCTTTTCCTCCTTGGTATCATCTGCAGCTTAAATTATGCCTACCTTCTACATATTCATCTTAGTCACTGATACAAGGGTTTAGTAGACTAGATTGCTGTATGCATTTTTATTTGTATCATAGGATAGATGGGAAGTAACAAATATACAAATTGGCCCCTCCATATTCTCCAAAATCTTTGTATGTATTAGGAAAACCTATGAAGAAATAGAACATTCAATGGTTTGAACTGATTAAACTGAAAAATTACCAAGAACTAAGGAAATAACTGTTAAGATCGATTATTCATATGGAACATTATTAAAAATTAATTTGGTTCTTGCCTTTAATGTTGTGTTTGTTAACTTTATGTGCCAACTTGATTCGACTAGGCTATGGGATGCCCAGATAGATGGTAAAACATTATTATATTATTTCTGGGTGTGTTTATGATGGTGTTTCAGGAAAATATTAGCATTTGAATCAGTACACTGAGTAAAGATCTGTTCTCTCCAATGTGGACAGGCATTAGCCAATCCATGGAGGGCTCAGATAGCACAAAAAGGCAAAGTAAGGGCAAATTATTTTTCTGTCTTCTTGACCTTGGATATCCTTCTTCTGCCCTTGGACATTGGAGCTCCTGGTTCTTAGGCCTTTGGACTTGAAATAAATTCTACCACTGGCTTTTCTGATTCTGCAGCTTGCAGACAGTATGCTGTGGTACTTTTTGGTCTCCATAACTATGTAAAACAATTCTCATAATAAATTTTCTCTTATATATCTATATATATCCTGTTGTCTCTGTTTCTCTGGAGAACCTGATTTATACAAATGTCTTGTCTAATTCTAAGTCTTAAGGGTGGGAGATGGTGAGGAGGGCATTGTTCTCTGTGTTCTAGTATCCTGATTCTAAAGGCATACCAGACCATTCTTAAATAAAGAAGAAAATAAGAAAAGGGGAAACATTAGCTTTTTATTGGGCTAAATTTTTTTCCAAATGTATAAAATGATATTAGACTATTAGTTAAAATAAACTAGAAAGAGCTAGACTAGTAGCACTGATCGATACTGCAAGGGTGAAACTCAGATAATTTTCAAAGTTTAACTTGTTATATAGAGGATAAAGAGTGAAACCAATAAGCCTGGAAAGTTGCAAGAGAGTTGTCAGCATCTGAGTCCTGGATGGTATGTCCCACTAAAAAGTGAGAAATATCTTTTATTATGTGAGCTTAAGTAAAAGCTTACATTACTATTAAGTGTGAGAGTTACACACACAGTTCAATAAGTAAAGAGAACAGTTTCTGGTACACTTGGTTAATGCAGAATCACCAAATTTGAGGATTGAGAGGGACTTTTACAGTTATCAATTTAGGCAAGGATGTCATAAGAATTGTGCCACTTCCAAATTACGTTTATTTTTCTTCTTTTAAAAAGTTATTTCAATTTTTGTGCCATAAGTTATATGATTATAAAATAATTAGGTGCTGCTAAAATCTTGGAACAGCAAAAGGGTTCAGATTATCTCCTAGTTAACTCACTAACTTATGCAACTAAAAGATTGTTCAGAAATTAATGATAAACTTGGGGTCCAAACATAGAACTGTTTTACTTATTCCTCTTAAAAAATACAGAGATTACTGAATTTGGTGTTAGGATAATTTAGATTGGCAACTCTGCACTTATAATTCTTGTACTTTAAGCTCTGTGTTGTTGGGCCAATGGCTTAAACTTTTAAATGTAACTTCCTTTAGTGAGGCTAAATATGGCTTGCAGAGAGTCAAATGAGACCAAGCAACAATACAACAATGACACTGCTGGTGACAAAGATATCAACATTTATTTAGCTCTTCCACAGGTATTGTGCAAAGTGTTTTAAACTTGTTTTAAGACTTAATTCTTGGCTGGGCACAGTGGCTTATGCCTGTAATCCCAGAACTTTGGGAGGCTGAGGCGGGTAGACCACCTGAGGTCAGGAGTTTGAGACCAGCCTCACCAACATGGAGAAACCCCATCTCTACTAAAAATACAAAATTAGCAGGGCACTGTGGGGCATGGTGGCTCATGCCTGTAATCCCAGCTATTCGGGAGGCTGAGGCTGGAGAATTGCTTGAACCTGGGAGGCAGAGGTTGCGGTGAGCTGAAATCGCACCATTGCACTCCAGCCTGGGCAACAAAAGCAAAACTCCATCACAACAACAACAACAACAACAACAACAAAACTTAATTCTTACAACAGTCATATAAGGTGAGGGCTATGGTCTGCATGTTTGTGGCTGCCCACCTCCCTGCTTCCCACAAATTTGTATGTTGAAATCCTATTACCTAAGGTGATGATATTAGAAGCTGGGTCCATTTGGGAGGTTATTAATTCATGGGGGCTCTGCCTTCATCAGTGAGAATAATGCCTTTATGAAAGAGTTATCAGAGAGTTGCCTTGTTCTTTCTGATATGTGAGGACACGGCTAGAAGGCATCATTTATGAACCAGGAAATGGGCTCTCACCACACCCAAATTTTCCTTGATCTTGGACTTCCCAGACTCCAGAATTGTGATAAATAAATTTCTGTTGTTTCTAAATTACCCAATTTGTGGTGTTTGGTATTGTTGTAGCCACTCAAATTGACTAAAACAGTGGGTATTATTAGAGTTGAACTTTGGACAAGGTGGGGGTTAGGAGGGCTTACCCCATGCATAGTCCAAAATCTGCACATAACTTTTGACACCCCAAAATCTTAATGATTAATAGCTAAATGTTGACTAGAAGCCTTACTGATAACATAGTCAATTAACACATATTTTATATATTACATGTATTATATACTGTATACTTAACGATCAAGTAAGCTAGAGAAAGGAAAATGTTATTAGGAAAATCATAAGAAGGAGAACATATATTTACTGTTTAGTAAGTGGAAGTGGATCATCATATAGATCTTCATCCTTATCATCTTCACATTGAGTAGGCTGAGGAGGAGAAGGAATAGGAAAGGCTGGTCTTGGTCTTGCCTGTCTCAGGGTGGCAGAGGTAGAGAAAGTCTGTGTATAAGTGGGCCAGCATGACTGAAACCAATGTTGTTCAATGGTCAACTATATTTTCATATATGTGAAAAAAACTTAAAAATTCAAGGGGATATATTGATGCAAATTATTATTAAGAGTATTATATTTCATCTGAATGAAAAAGATCATGTTTTATGTTAGGAATCCCCACCCAACTGTCATATATTTTGAGGGAACTAAATGAGGTCCTTTGGGTAAATAAATGTTATGCTTTTTAATAGCTATATAAGAAAAAACAGAAGCATGACATCTTATTTTAAAATAACTTTTCTAGAAAAGTTTATTTATGTACATCTATACCACACATATGTATACATATTTTTTTCCTGAGTGAATAAAGTGGAGGCTATCAGTGGTCACCAAATATTTATGTGATCTCCTACATTTTCTAGAACTCTGACAGGTAGGTTAGAAAGATGTAATCAATCCTGGCTAATGAAATGTGAGCAGAATTAATGTATATCATTTCTGGGTCAAGTAGTTAAGAAGTAGATATGTCTCCCCCATTTTTCTTTTCTCCTGCGGTCATGATCTTGGAGGACATATGTTCCAGATGGTATAACAATAAAATGGAGGAGGGAATCTTGACTTGCATTGAACTTGACTGAGTTGCAGTAAGCCACTGAGATATTAGTATTTATTTGTTATTATGGCATAGACTTGCCGATTCTAGCTAACACAGTGCACTGTGTCTTACTCATAATTATATCTTCTCCTGAAGGATAATATTTATTCACCTAATGAATCTGGTTTAGTACCCTCAAAATATATGACAGTTGGGTGGGAATTCCTAACATAAAACATAATATTTTTATTTAGATGAAATATAATACTTCTAATAATAGTTCATATCAATACATCCCCTTGAATTTTAAAATTTTTTTCACATACATAAAAATATAGTTGACCCTCGAACAACATAGGTTTCAGCTGCGCTGGCCCATTTGTACACAGATTTTCTCTGACTCTGCCACCCTGAGACAGCAATACCAACCCCTCCTGTGCCTTCTCCTCCTCAGCCTACTCAATGTGAAGATGATGAGGATGAAGACCTTTATGATGATCTACTTCCACTTACTAAACAGTAAATACATATTCTCTTCCTTATGATTTTCTTAATAACATTTTCTTTTCTTTAGCTTACTTTATTGTTAAGTATACAGTACATAATACATATAATATGTAAAATATGTGTTAATTGACTGTTCATGTTATCAGTAAGGCTTCTAGTCAATATTATGCCAGCATAATGTGATAAATGAAAGACCTGTTTGGTAAGTAAGAAATTTCTTACGAAGTAATATGAGTAATACAGTACAAGTAATACAGTAAGAACCCATAACTTTATAAAGTAAATATCTTAGATACAGATAGGCTAGATTTAATTGCTTGAAGCACTAAAGATCACATTCTTTCGAATCCCTGCATATCACTTCACTAACAAAAGATGATAGTATTTATTTGGCACACCTGGATAAATAGTCGTGTTTACTCAAGAGTTGGGGTGACTGGCCCAGGAGTTCGGTCTGCCTTAAGTCCTCTCAGGCATGCTAGGGTCTAAAGGATCAATATCTTCACTCATTTATGCCGTCCTGTTTAGGAAACTTACCTAAAATCAGTCTAGCCAAGGGGTCTGATATGCTGTTTTATGATGCTGGTCCTAGAAAACAAATTGAAATGATTCAGATTTCAGCAAGTGTTTTCTTCCTGATTTAACTGTGCCAATTGAATTGAACAAATTTTGATTCTTCAGTTTCTTCACCTGTAAAATAAGGAATTAATCTCTAAGGCCCCTTCTGTCTCAAAAATTCTGTAATTCTTTATGAGCAAGGGAATATACTGCATAGTATGTGGAGCTAGCACAAACTGAAATGACTATTTTGTAATAATACAGTAAAACTGATCAATGCAGGCAGCTAAACCATGTAATTCAATCCCTGAAGTGGGTTTTGTTCAGTTTGGCTGTCTGTAGTCATCACATAAATTGAGCGATTAGGTAACCATGGTCTCTGTATGAGAAGCCAGCAATCTGCAGTCGAGCTGTGGATTCTGAAGGGACTGCCCACATTTCACACAGATCATACACGCGCAAGGCTTATGCATATGAAAGTGCGGTGTATATCAAGCTCATGTACAGAAAAGTCACCAAGGGCTGGAAAAACTTGATTCACATGCTTACAAAGGAAAATGGTTTAAAACATATTTAATATTAAATTTTAAAAGCTGATAAAACACTCTGTGACTTGGAAAATTTCTGTTAACATGTTTAGTTTTACGTTGAAACAATAAATATTATCTTATTGACTTAACTACTTCTAAACTAGCAAAATATTTTAATAACAATTCATTATCATTTCAGAAATTCTGAAATGAAATTCTGAAATGAAATTCTGAATTCATTATAATTCAGAATTTTGCTGCACATGAAAAGGTTCCATATGCCAAGGTGCAGCCTGGCTAGTTATTTTACCCAGGTTTATAAGTGACATATATCGTTTTGTACTCTTTTCCCAAATTATATTAATAACTCTCTTATAGTTGTCACATATGGCAAACAGACCAGGAGCATAACCCCTGTCTGTAGCATTTAATTAAAATGCATATTTTGCTGAAGGATATTCAACATGGATAATGTTTCTCTTAAAGAAATAAAAGGCATATCACCAGTTGATTTTATGATCCTTAATTTAAAAATATGAAGTTAGCATGCTTATTTTCCGTATTGACAAGCATATACCACATGTCCCTCTGAACTGTGATTCCCTTCCTCTTGCAGCTTGCTTTTTCTCCATTAAGCTTCGTAAATCTCTCTCTCAGATAAGACCATGCTGGTGCACTGAGAGTTAATCCAATTAAAACAGTATAACTAAATAATAGAAAAATATTTGCTGCATATAGAAGGAAAATGACATTTGAGAACTCATTTATTAGATTGACGAACTGAGACGTCTGATGCAGTGCTCTCCTGATATGCCTGGCTGGTAGTGTGGGCTTCAGTTCCTGGGTTAGTTGACAGATTATGCCATGCCTCATTAAGGCGGACTTAACGCTGACTACATCTGTAGACTCTCTTGTATTTTTTGTTTTATGTTCAGTGTGAAGAATGTAAAGTGTTTGTGAGATTTCTTCTGAATATTCTTTCTGGATATTCAAATAAATGTGGTCACAGAATGACAGTTTCTCATTTAGGCCTCATGTAGTAGAGACAAACTTTATTAACATCCATTCTGGTGGTGTGCCTGCACCCATCTTATTCTTCTTTACACAATGTTTATCTTTGCTCCTTCCCTACACCCACCCTATGCTGTAGTCACATTGATTCCCCCCACCCTGCACCCCTCTCTCCCACTTCCTGATGATGCCTATTCATTTAAGACTGAGTCCAAACATCTCCTTTGCTGTGAAGGTGGCTCCTGGAGTGATGGCAGTGGCAGTGACTGAAGGAGGCCTGAGGAACACTAGCACTGCCTTGGCACCGTGCATCATGATTTATTGCCTATACTGTCATTTAGCTTTTCACCTTTTATACTGTGTCTTCATATGGCTTCTTTGAACTTTATCTTTTGCTTTTATCATCCCGCTCTTTAGCTAAAACCATCATTTTTTTTTTTTTCATGAAGATTTAGCTCTACCTTGACCATGAGATCATTCATTTACAACCTGACCCAGCTCTGGTGCCCGACTAATGACTTGTGCTTTGTCATTTCACTTCCTAAAACTCTGCTTCTACTTTGGTTCATGATAGGTGATACCTGTTCCCTTTGGTTTTCTTGACTGAGGAGGTTACCCATGAACAGATATTGACTCTTGCTGCTGGAACTCAGAGTTCTTCCATTGCAGGCTGGTAGAGTCTGTGGTACCTCAAAGGCTTATTTGTATGCAACTAACTTTGAAAGGGAAAGTGGCAAGAAAACTGTTATTTTTGGAGGCTACTGTAGGGCTCACAGTGTGGATTTTTAGTGAAAGTAACTCTGGTGCAGTAGCCAGATACAATTAAGTTAGAGACAGGAGCATGAGATAAGTACAAAGGGTGCATCTGAGGAAGCTCAGGGGTCTCTCAAGTGGCTTGGGGTAAATTCTACACAATGGGTGCACTATAGAGAATGACGGCATATTATCCTTTTTCATTTAGAAATGTATAACTTCTGTGGGAGTCCCAGGTAGAAGATGCTGAACACATTTTCTGGGTGTCTATGAGATTTCTGAACGGCCTATAAATCTGAATCCTAGCATGATTATCAGGCTGATGGGGTAACTTTCATGTGACCTTGTCTTCTTGTGTTCTTGGAATAAACGTTCACAACTGAAGGTAAACCACAGGTGTTTCTGCCTTGGATTTCTTAGGAAGAAAAGTGTCTACCTGTTGGAAGCTCATGACCTCTTGGTGGTAAATTGCTCACTATTGCCTGCAGCATGCTAGGTCTTGTCAAACCCTCTGCACCTTGGGCTGCGCAGTTATCTGGACATGTGCCAGGTTCAAGCTCCATCCTTTGTCTTCCTGCTCTTGCTGCTCTAAGGTAAGACAAATGAAAGCTGTCTGAGGGTCTCAGATAGTTTTTCCAGCTTCCATCCCATGTAGCACAAATAATATATAGATTTTTCAATAAATATTGCTTGATTGATCTAGAGTCAATGGGATGGCTACTATCTAAGATGAGTTCTCAAATAAAAGTGAGTTTGCCTGCCACAAATATGTGTGTATATGTATTTATGAATGTGCTTGCATATACACAGAACACATATCATAAATGCTATGTACACATACCTATTTCCAATACTTGGAATGTATCTGACCTAAATGCTTGCTGCCATAGCCAGAAAGTCAAACTTAGCTTCTTTATCAGAAGTTTTAGCAAAGATGAATCAAATTCTTTATTATCCAGTGCTTATCCCAGGAGGTTTTTCCACCTATAACATATGCAGGTACAGTGTTGCTAAGTATAGAGGCCACTCATTGTCCCTCCAAAGCATTTGTTGTGTTTTCTGATGTCATGATACCTCAGCTAAGTACTGCTAAATCATTACAAATGTGGCTACAGTTGTTGAGTGCTTTCATTATCATCATAGTTCTAATACTGCCTCCCAAAGGAGAAAATTATTTGGGGCAAAAACATTAAAAAATGAATATGCTTCTATATATAATCTCAGTTGAAAGGCAGTATTAGCTGTATTTTTTATTTTGAAGTGTGAAATACTATTTTTTTGAGGTGGAGAAATACTATTTTTTTGGCCTTAAGGAAGTTATATCAAATGATTCCTTCACAACTGCCATCAGCTTTTACTCTGTAATTATTCCATGTCTCATCGCTGACACAGTTTCTGCTCCAGTAAAACAAATGTGCTTCTTTTGTATATCTCAGATAAATGGCCTCCAACTTGCACTCTTTTATTCCCATTGGCTGGAATGCCCTAACTTCTTCCTGCCTTCCAATGTTCTTTAAAATTTCACTTACAACTCACCTTTTCCTTGTTATCTTTCTGGATTAAAGTCAGACAGATATGATTACCCTAGTCATCCCAGAACACTCCTATCACATTCCAGAATGAACACCAATCAGAATGAATGATTGCTTCAGTTTCTGCCATTTGACCATGACTTTGACACATACACAGTGGCATCTTAGTCATTTGAGATTTGTGAGTAGAATGGGGATGGTGAAGTGCTGATGTGTAGCTCAATGAAAAGGCTTTGAAATATTGAGGGTTGGGTACTTTGGGAGCATCAGGAGAAAGCACCCTTGGAATTCCCTTTGCTGGTTTCTGGCCAAAGTGGCCCTTTCCCTCAAGTGTCTCAGAAAGCCATGACCATTGGTATGGGGGCCAGAGAGAAAGGACAGGAGTGGATGATTTGTGAACACATGAGAACTTCACAGAGAATTTTGTCTCTGAATTGATGCAGGTAACAGAAATTGCCAGCAAAACACAGATGATTAGCTTAAATGTGAGAATAGAGTTGTCCTTACAGAAGATCTACCTTCTCTCGATTTATCAAAATGCCACAGAGAAACTGAGGCTACTTTAGGAGTACCAACTGCATCTCACTTTGCCCATCAAGTTGCCCTATCCTCTTTACCATGCTGTAGCCTGTTATGTGGGTACAGAACTGTTCTCCATCATGGCGTTTTCCAGACTCATATATGAGTAGCATCTGCTTTCAGTGCATCCCTTATCTTATCTAAAACACATTCTATTGTCAAGTATGGAGAAGGTTCTTTCCTTCTACCTTAGGGCACCAAATCCCTTGGCCTAGCTTTTTTTTTGTCTTGTCCCTGATGGAAACTCTATGGTCTGAGCACACTTGGCTAAATATACTATGAAAGTTAGAAAAATTCTCTCTTTTTCCATGCTTGATTTCCAAGCTTATTTATTATTTTACCAATAAATAAACCAAATGTCTGCTCTCACTTTTCATGGAGCAATAATACTCAAGGTTCAGTCTTGGAGGCGGGAGGTTAGTAGGAGTCATGAGATAAGGGGCAATTATCTCATGATAATATATCACTATATGTGATCTGGCAATATTGAGATACTTTACAAATATTATAGTGATGTATTTATACTGCAGCATGCTAGGTATACTTTACAATAATATATATATAACATGTAGGTATTCTTACATGTGTATATGTCCTCTTGATTCACGTAAAATGTGGACCGGCCCATTCAGAACATGCAGCTTTTCTAAAGATTACTAGTTTCTTACATAGTGGCTAAGGTTATCAAATTATCTAATTTGTTTGAATGTAGTCAGCTAAACGGAATAAAATTCACTTTGGGAATTAGATTGCCTAGTGCTCTGTCTTTGGTGATTAGATCAACTCTATATATAATTACAAAATAGTAGCTTCATTTGGACTCCTTCAACACAGTGTCACCATAATACATAGTAGAGTGAATTCTCTTGTTAGTGAAAAATTATAAGTGTTAGAGCTGAAAGAATCCGTATAGATTATTTAAACCTCTTCATTTTACAAGGGAAGAAACTGAAGTTCACAGAAATGACAATTCAATTGATACAATTAAATTTAACTCAAAACACTTGATAAAAGTCTGAAGTTGTTCAATCAGTGTGGTTGAGGAGAATGTGACAGAGGAGAAAAGGTCTGTGTGTTAAACCACCAGCATAGGCCATTGTGAATGCTTTGACATTTCCACTGAAGGAAAAGGTGAACCATTGTAAGCTTTGAGCAGAGGATCAACACATGGCAACTGATATTTTAAAAGGATCATTTTAGTTGCTGTGTTGAATGGATTAAGGGGGTTAAGAGTAAAAGCAGGGAGGTTAGGTGGCTGTTGCAGGAATCTGGGGGAGAGAGATGCTAGCTCAGATGTGGGTAATAGAGTAGAGGTCATGGGCAAAATAATATATTTTAGATGTATTTGGAAGGAGAAGTCAACAGGATTTCCTGGAAGACTGAATATAGAATATGAGAAAAAGAAAGGAACCAGGAATTACACCCACCAAGGATTTTGACCTGAAAACCAAGAGAATAGAACTGCCATTTAATAAGACAGGGAAGGCTATAGGTGAACACGTTTTATGGTAAGAGATCAGGAGTTCAATTTTGGACATATTGAGTTTGAGATGTTTTTAAGACATCTAAGTGGAAATGTCAGTAGGTGGTTGCATACATGAATCTGGAAGATGAAAGGAAATTCTTATAAAAGATGTAAATGTGGGAGATTCTGGCATAGATATGTAATTTAAAACTGAGGCAAAATGTGATTACCTGGGGACGTATTAGTTTGACAGGGAGTTCGTAACAAAGTACCACAACCTGGGTGGCTCAAACAACAGAAATTTGTTGTCTCACAGCTCTGGAGGCTAGAAGCTGGAGATTAAGGCATCAGAAGGATCAGTTATTTGAAGGCTATGAGGGAGAATCAAGTATCTGTTTTATGCCTCTCTTCTAGCTTCTGGTGTTTGCTGACAATCTTTGGAGTTCTTTGGCTTATAGATGCCTCATCCTAATCTCTGCCTTTAGGTTCACATGGTGTTCTCCTTGCGTGTGTGTCTGCATCCGAATTTCCCCTTTTAAAAGGATACCATTTATATTGGATTAGGGGTCCACTCTACTCCAGTATAGCCTAATTTTAACGGATTACATCTGCACCAACCTTGTTTTCAAATAAGGTCACATTCTTAGGTAGAAGGGGTTAGGACTTCAACATGTGAATTTTGAGGGAACTCAACTCAACCCAGGAACCAGCCATAGATTTTTAAAAAAGAAAAGAAAAGAGGCTCAAGGATAGAGTCTTTGGAACTTCACCTTTAGAAGCCCAGGGATGAGAGGAGAAACTAGGAAAGGAGATTGAAAATGAGTGATCAGAGAGGTGGGAGAAAAAACAAGAGATTTTTGTCCTGGAATCAAGGGAGAAAGTGGAGCTTACATTCTTTTATTACGGTTAATTAGCCAATATCAGTTCACACCCACCAGACCATAATCAGCTCCATGAGTATCAAGAACAATTCTCTTGCACTGCTTTTTGACCATAGTAGATGTGTAATAAATACTCAATGCAATATTTACTGAGAGAACTAATAAATGAATGAATTTCTTTCCTTAAATCCCTATGCCTTACAGTTTACCCCACAGCATGTTTTATTGCTCTGGGGTTCTACTTTTATTTAACTTTATTAATATTATAATGCAAATACTCCAAAACAAATCATTCTAAAATTTGATCTATTTTTTCCAGCTTTTGATTTTTTTTTTCTATTCTTGATTTTTTACATAGCTTTCTTTGTTTCTCTTCCTTGGTTGGGTTTGCATATGTCTTGTCTACTTTAGTAGATCCTGAGAATATTAAGACCAAGAACTATGACCTTTATGTCTTCTTTTCTTCTCTTAGTGGCATATAGTTCAGTAGGTCTCCTCCAATATCTACCCTGTCAATTTACTACTTTGGATTTGCAATAATTATTCAATGATGAATTAACAGCCTGATTCTCATATTCACTTCAGAGAAGATTTTCACTGTTTTTTTTTCTGACCCCCTGTATATCCTTAGTCTCTGTAATTCTGTCTTGTGGATTTAGCAACAGATGAACACTTGCTTAAAGCAGATAAAATCCAAGATGACATCTTCAGGGCCTTTTTGAAAAATAATGTTCAGAGAAGCACTCGTTCATTTAGAGCACGTATCCACTCTGTGATGTACCCAAAACACTAGGGCTTTGATTTTGTTTTTAAGCACCTATTTAGGCACTGTGATTGAGAGTCAAGTGAGAAATAGAAAAGAGAATTAGGCAGCAAGCCTGGATCACTGCAACAAGCAGCAACAAAAACTCCCTTCATAAGCAATTTGGGAGAGTGAAAGGAGGTGGCTGAGGGTAGGAAGTATATATTTTTCTTTTTAATGAATGTTAGTTGTTTTATTTATCAAAATGTGTCCACTGGAAATATTTTGAGTTTTTCTGTAACTATCATAATAAACTACAAATTAATGACTGTTTGCTTTAAACCTTGGCAAAATAAGTAAAATATCATTGAATGCTGTGATGTAACTAAATGAGCCACACTTTGAACAGACTACCCAACACAGAAATGTCTTTCAATTTGCTATATGAAGCATCCTTCAAGTCCATGGCAACAAGGTTTCACATATTTGCCAAATGTTCATGCTAGACTTTTATTTGGTTCACTGTTGGCAGAGAAAGATAATTATCTTCTTCCAAAAGCAGCTATACAAATTTTTAGTTTCTTTTCTTAGAAGTCTTTCTTCTACCACCATGAAAACTAGGGTATATCTGATCATTGGGATAGATTGTTAAGAGTGATATATATATATATATATATATATATAGACACATTTTCAGTAAGAACTTTTAGGAGATCACAATATGACATAGAAGAGAGAGGAAAAATGATTGAACCAAAAGAAAGGAAATAAAAAAGGAATAGAGCCTTAGTGACCTATTGAACAATATCAGTAGGTAAAATATACATGTAACTGGACTTCCAGAAGGACGGGAGAGAAAAAAACAAGACTGAAAAATATTAAAAAGAAATATGGGCCAAAATTTTCTAAATTAACCTACAGATGCAAGAAACTCAGCAAACCCCAAGCAGGGAACATACAAAGACAGCCATACTGATGCACATCACAGTCATACAAACCGCTGAAAACTAAAGTTAAAGAGAAAAAATCACAGAAATAGCCAGAGGAATAAAAGACTTTACATACAGAAGAACCATGATAGAAAGACCCTTAAAAAGCTAAAAGAAAAACATATTGTCATCTCAAAGCCTATATTCCATGAAAACATCTTTTAAAATGGTCATGAGATAAAGACAATTTTAGATAAAGGAAAGCTGACAAAATTTGTTGCCAGCAGACTAGCGTTACGAGAAATACTAAAGGAAGTTCTTCAGGTAGAATGAAAATAATATAAGATGGAAATTCAGATCTACAGACAGGAATGAAGAGTTTCAGAAATGATAAATATATGGGCAAACATAAGCAACTACTCATGTTTTTATTCTTGAAATTTAAAAAATAGACAATTTAACAAAAAAATAAAAATATTTTCTTGTGCTATTTACAATGTAGATACAAGTAAAATATGTGACATCAGTAGCACATAGGATGGGAGTTGGAATTATACTGTGGAAAAATTGTTCCATTTCATGTGAAGTGGCAGAACAGTAATTTTTATTTATTTTTTGAGATGGAGTCTCGCTCTGTCACCTAGGCTAGAGTGCAGTGGCGCTATCTCAGCTCACTGCAACCTCCACCTCCAGGACTCAAGCTATTCTCCTGCGTCAGCCTCCCAAGTAGCTGGGACTACAGGCACCCACCACCATGCCCAGCTAATTTATGTATTTTTAGTAGAGGCAGGTTTCACCATATTGGCCAGGCTGGTCTCGATCTCCTGACCTGTGATTCACCTGCCTTGGCCTCCCAAAGTGCCGTGTATTGTAATTCCTGAAGAAAAAAGTAAAACAATAATTAATGCAAAGTGGTATAATGAAAAAGCTAAAACAGAAAGTAAAATGGGACACCAAAAATTAAAAGACAAAAGCAAAAGCAGCTTTGGTTTTATCAGTGGATTTTCTCTTTCTCTAACATCTCAGATACAATTGTTTAGAAAATTTTGCTGGCTTTACCTTCAAACTATATCTACACTCTGACTATTTTCCACCACCTCTGCTGCTACTAGCCTGGTCTAAGCCACTATACTTTCAGCAAAAGTCACCTAACTGGTGTCTGGGATTCTATCCTTATTCCCAGTGAGGCATTCTTCTTAATACAGGAGCCAGAGTGATTCCATTAAATATCAAAGTCCTGACAATGGCCTGCAAGACACTACATGCTCTGGCCCCAGGGTTTGTGTCTACCCTTATCTCCTATATTTCTCCCCTTGGTTCTTTCTACTTCTGTCACACAGTCCTCCTTACCGTTCCCTTACAGGCACACCAACCATGATCTTGCCTAAGGGCCTTTGCACTGGCCATTCTTTCTGTCTAAATAGTTTCCTCAGATGCTTACAAAGCTAACTGCTCATGTACTTCCACTTTTTTGCTCAACCACCCAAGGAGACTTACCTTGATTAACCTATTACAAATCATAATACTATATCAACTCTCCTTATTCCCTACCCGTCTCTACTGTTTCTTTTTTCCTTTTTTTGTAGTATGTAATACCTTCTAACATATTATGTAATTATTTATTATATTTATTGTGTATCTTCCCCTAATAAAATAAATTTCCATAAGGGCATGTATCTCATTTTCTGTTTGTTTACTTTAAGCGATGCATATCAAGCACATAAAGCAGATGCTCAATATATAATTGTTGACCAAACAAATAAATGAAAAAGGAAGCAAAGCTAGCTGTTTTGTTCATTGAGAATACCTACTATGCATTCTCAGTATATAGTACAGTGTCTGGGCATAGTAAATGTTCAATAAAAACTTCTGAAGTGAGTGAAGTGGTTGCTCTGAAAATGGGACTCAATTATTTCAGAGTTGTTGTATATGGGCCCATTACAGAGTGCCACTTTCTCTATTCAATTTCAAATTTAATGAGACATAAATCAAGAGAGAAGATGGAGAGGTAAACTGCTTTTATTACTGCTAAGACTGATACTGATGAACGTGGCTTTTGACTGCAGGCACTCTGTTTATTAACAGTGAACCCCACAAATAGACAGACTTACCTAATCTGTCACAGGCAGGGCTGTATCACACATGAGTGGACCCCATGCCTGGAAACTTGCAAATGGAGGAAGAGAACAGAATATATGCTCTTTGTGTCTGATTTCTAAGGAGAAAGAAGAAAGTGATGATCCAAGCATTTTTCATTTATTCTTCTCAAAATTAGCATTTGACAAATAATTTCTTCTCTCTTGGGAACGAACAAGAAAGGGTTATAGAGGGTTTCTCTATAATGGGAATCTCTCTATAAGAAAAGAAACAAAAGGAATGAGAGAATTATCTTCTTCATACTAGAACATAAACCAAAATCAATCATCAGTGTGAGGATAGTAATTGATTCTGTGGGTTTGTACAAACTTACCTTGGAAGAGAACGCAGATAGTGAAGATCCTAGGTCAGATGATTGAAGAAACATCTGATCTAGCTCCTGGTTGGAAGATAACAAGCTGTTAGTAGAGAGGGGAAGGGGAAGGATGTTGTCACAAACACTGGGCAAGGGTGTTGTCACAGAAACTAAGAGTCACAGAAACTAAAAACCGAGAGTATTTTAACATGAAAGAGAAATCGATAGCTTCAAATGTGGCTGAGGGGTCAAGTAATCTGAGGACCAATGTTCACTAAATTGATGACGTCCATGATTTTGCTCTCCCCTGGACTGATGGAATTGATGTCAGGGTGGAATTGAGACAACAAGCGTAGACAGCTGCTTTGAGAAGTTGGCTCTGAACAACTTTGATATGCTGGATGAAAAGGAAACAAGAAAGGGAGAATAACATTGGGAAGGCACAGAGGTAGGTGTTAACATGGACTTAGGGGACAGTATGTAGCCAGATCATTCTGAGCAGAGACAGGGAAACTGACTTAAGAGCTGATGGGTATGTAGTTAAATAGAATAGGACCAGATTATGATTATTCTAGAAACTCAAATGAAAATAATTTTATTTGATGTAGAAGGAAATGGATGGACTGGGAAGGTTTTTGACAATTTAGTAATGTACACTTATTAACCACTTATTGCCATTTGGTAACTCTGCTGTGACTGATACATAAATGAAGATGTAATGTATACATCTATGTGTCTTTTTATAAAATTGAGACAGGATACATATTTTCGGTAGCTCAATTTCAAGTTCTTCTCTAATGATTTGCAAGGAATGCACTCATATTAGTCTAAATAAAAAAGTATGTATTGCAAGGATTCATGTGAAATCATAAAGAAGATGGACTATCCCAGAAATCTGAGGACAGTAAAACAGTAACTGTCAGCTAAATACTCTGAGTTGGTTAATTCAATTCCCCTTTCATTGTGCTTTTAGATAAAAAGTTGGAGAGCTAGGAACTTTATGCTTCTTTTTTGCAGCCCAAAAGCTAAAATTCTGGATGAGAACTAGATTCTACCAATTAGGTTCTCTTGCACAAGATTTTGGAGACAGAAGTGAGGCAGAGGCTGCCTTTTTGCATCTTTTTCATACAATGTTCTGGAAATGTGCAGTTTTTATGCAGCAGCTCTCCAGTGTCTGTTCTCCAGCCTTCTCTCTGTTGAGGGATAGATATGCATTGGAGGCAAAATTGCCTTCTTTCTTCTGGCAAACCTCCAGTTCTAGCCTTAGAGGTAGTAGCTTCTTAAGTTTGTTGGTTCTGAATGCTGTTAAAAGCCATTCTAGGAAGCTTACCCTAAATCAGCAACAGGAAAACTTTTTCTTTAAAGGGCAGATAGTAAATATTTTAGGCTTTGTGGGCCATTCAATCTCTGTTGCAATTACTTAACTCTGTGATAGTTTAAAAATAGCCATAGAAAATACATAAACAAATAGACATGGCTATTCCCTATAAAACTTTATTTTTACAAAAACAGATAGCAGGTGTGTGTTTGATCTTCAGGCTACAGTTTGCCACCGTCTGACCTAAATCTTTCTCCTTCAAGCTTTCCATTCATTCTGTAGCACCTAGTCCACTTCGTTAATAACGTTGCTGCGAAAAGAATAGGTATGGTCGTTTTTGGTTTTTCCATTGACCTCTGACAAATACAGAGATGAGCTTGTATATCATTAAGGATGGGAACAGTCCCTTGATTGAAATTTGGAACAGTCTCCAAGTCTCAGTGACTTAACACAGCAAAAGATGAATTTCTCACACACACGACATCAAAAGCAAGTCAGCAGAGGATACTATTCTGTCTCCTTACTTGGAGTCTTGGGCTTATATAATACCTTCCTGTGAAGCATTGCTGTTACCCACATCAGAGAGAAAAGAGACAGCTGGAGAATAACTCTGGCGCTTAAAACTTCTGTTTAGAAATGACACATGTCGCTTATGCTCATATTTCATTGGCTAAAATAAGTCAAATGGCCATACCTAACTTCAAGGGATAGGGAAGGACAATATTATTAGGTGATAAGAAAGAGAAAACCAGAGTATTTTGGAAGCATCCTAATGACCCCCACAAGTGAAATCCTCCAGCTCCTGTAATGGGAGAATAATTCTGGATTGAAGTTGGTTGAAAAGATGTTCATGGAACATTACACTGTACTTTAGTATCAACAAGGTTGAACTATGTTATATTTGTGTACTCCATTCTTCACACTTGTGTGAATTCAGTTTACTCAACTGAATAAGAAGAATAATAACCATAATGCCCACATTTTTTCTTGTCTTGGAAGTATCTTCCCCCAGTGTTCTGAGTAATGTGAAGCACTTTAGGAAGGTGCATGGTCCTTCCATGCCACTTGCTATATGGATTCACTGACATCAATTCACCTAGTTCTCAACATTGCCTTGCTTACAAGAGGAAAGCAGTTTCGAGTCTCTGGAAATATAATTCAATCTCTGTATAATTATTTTGTAGTGCTCTTTTGTCATCATCATATTTTTATTATTGTCCTGTGAAAGTAGCAAAAATTATAAATCTGGTTTTAAAATTCAAGACTAGGCTGACCCAGTTTGAATTCTGTCTTCAAAACTTACTGACAGTGTCATCATGCATACTATATAACCTCATTGACTTCAATGTCTCTTCTATAAAATGGGCTTCATACTGTTAGATACCTCATAGGGTTGTTGAAAAAAAGAAGTAAATATACTTTAGCACTTAGAACTTGACATAGAGTATTAGCTGAATGTTTCTTCTCTTCCTGCTTCTCCTCGTCCTCATTCCATCACATGATAGATATGAATAGAACAGAAAATAGAAATGAAAACATTCTCTGTTAGGCCTGAGACACCTCATAAATGTTATTAAGAAATACATTATGAAATTCAAAGAAGCTAATTGATTTTTCCAAGATCAACCTGATCTCAAAGTCACATGAGAACTCCATGTGACTTTCTTTGCTCATTCTACTTGTTACTTCACAATGTTGCACACATTCCAATGATTGCTTTGCCAGGCAAGGTTTGAGTCTTTTGCTTCCACTTGGCATTGAAGTATTTTTATTTAGCTCAGTTTCATTTTTTTCTTCTCTCTGTCTCTATTTCTATTCCAGTATTTCCATTATGCTCCATCTCTCAGCAGAAGGGATTAGTTTTTTGTTTTGTTTTGTTTTGATTTTTATACTTTCAGTTCTGGGATACATTGAAGAACGTGCAGGTTTGTTACATAGCTATACACGTGCCATGGTGGTTTGATGCACCCATCAACCCATCATCTACATTAGGTATTTCTTCTAATGCTATCCCTCCCCTAACTCCTCAACTCCAGACAGGCCCCAGTATGTGATGTTCCCCTCCCTGTGTCCATCTGTTCTCGTTGTTCAACTACCACTTATGAGCGAGAACATGTGGTGTTTGGTTTTCTGTTCCTGTGTTAATTTGCTGAGAATGGTTTCCAGCTTCATCCATGTCCCTACAAAGGACATAAACTCATTCTTTTTTATGGCTGCGTAGTATTCCATGGTGTATATGTGCCAAATTTCCTTTATCTAGCCTATCATTGATGGGCATTGCGGTTGGTTCCAAGTCTTTGCTATTGTGAACAGTGCTTCAATAAACATACATATGCATGTGTCTTTATAGTAGAATGATTTATAATCCTCTGGGTATATATCCAGTAATGGGATTGCTGGCTCAAATGGTATTTCTGGTTCTAGATCCTTGACGAATTGCCGCACTGTCTTCCACAATGGTTGAACTAATTTACACTCCCAGAAACAGTGTAAAAGCATTATTATTTCTCCACATCCTCTCCAGCATCTGTTTCCTGACTTTTTAATGATCACCATTCTAACTGGCATGAATTGGCATCTCATTGTGTTTTGATTTGCATTTCTCTAATGACCAGTGATGATGAGCTTTTTTTCATATGTTTGTTGGCTGTATAAATGTCTTCTTTTGAGAAGTGTCTGTTCACATCCTTCACCCACTTTTCGATGGGGTTGTTTTTTTTCTTTTCAATTTGTTTGAGTTCATTGTAGATTCTGGATATTAGCCCTTTGTCAGATGGATAGATTGCAAAAATATTCTCCCATTCTGCGAGTTGCCTGTTCACTCTGATGATAGTTTCTATTGCTGTGCAGAAGTTCTTTAGTTTAATTAGATCCCATTTTTCAATTTTGGCTTTTGTTCCCATTGCTTTTGGTGTTTTAGTCATGAAGTCTTTGCCCATGCCTATGTCCTGAAGGGTATTGCCTAGGTTTTCTTCTAGGGTTTCTTCTAGGGTTTTTATGGTTTTAGGTTTTACATTTCAGTCTTTAATCCATGTTGAGTTAATTTTTGTATAAGGTGTAAGGAAGGGGTCCAGTTTCAGTTTTCTGCATATGGCTAGCCAGTTTTTCCAACACCATTTATTTAATAGGGAATCCTTTCCCCATTGCTTTTTTTGTTAGGTTTCTGGAAGATCAGATGGTTATAGATGTGTGGTGTTATTTCTGAGGCCTCTGTTCTGTTCCATTGGTCTATATATCTGTTTTGGTACCAGTACCATGCTGTTTTGGTTACTGTAGACTTGTAGTATAGTCTGAAGTCAGGTAGCATGATTCCTCCAGCTATGTTCTTTTTGTTTAGAATTGTCTTGGCTATACAGGCTCTTTTTTGGATCCATATGAAATTTAAAGTAGTTTTTTCTAATTCTGTGAAGAAAGTCAATGGTAGCTTGATGGGAATAGCATTGAATCTATAAATTACTTTGGGCAGTATGGCCATTTTTACGATATTGATTCTTCCTATCCCTGATCATGGAATGTTTTTCCATTTGTTTGTGTCCCCTCCTAATTCCTTGAGCAGTGATTTGTAGTACTCCTTGAAAAGGTCCTTCACATTCCTTGTTAGTTGTGTTTCTGAGTATTTTATTCTCTTTGTAGCAATTGTGAATGGGAGTTCACTCATGATTTGGCTCTCTATTATTGATGTGTAGGAATGCTTGTGATTTTTACACATTGATTTTGTATCCTGAGACTTTGCTGAAGCTGCTTATCAGCTTAAGGAGATTTTGGGCTGAGACAATGGGGTTTTCTAAATATACAGTCATGTCATCTGCAAACAGAGACAATTTGACTTCCTCCCTTCCTATTTAAATACACTTTATTTCTTTTTCTTGCCAGATTGCCTTGGCCAGAACTTCCAATACTATGTTGAATAGGAGTTTGTGAGAGAGGGCATCCTTGTCTTGTGCCAGTTTTCAAAGGGAATGCTTCCAGCTTTTGCCCATTCAGTTTGATATTAGCTGTGGGTTTGTCATAAATAGCTCTTATTGTTTGAGATGTGTTCCATCAATACCTAGTTTATTGAGAGTTTTTAGCATGAAGAGGTGTTAAATTTTATCGACATCCTTTTTTGCACCTATCCGGGAGCTGGTTTTTTGAAAAGATTAACCAAATAGATAGACCGCTAGTCATGCTAATAAAGAAGCAAAGAGAGAAGAATCAAATAGACACAATAAACAATGATAAAGGGGGATATCACCACCGATCCCACAGAAATACAAACTACCATCAGAGAATACTATAAACACCTCTACGCAAATAAACTAGAAAGTCTAGAAGAAACGGATAAATTCCTGGACACATACACCCTCCCAAGACTAAATCAGGAAGAAGCTGAATCCCTGAATAGACTGATAACAAGTTCTGAAATTGAGGCAGTAATTAGTAGCCTACTAACAAAAAAAAAGGCCCAGGGCCAAACGAATTCACAGCTTAATTCTACCAGCAGTACAAAGGGGAGCTGGTACCATTCCTTCTGAAACTATTGCAAACAATAGAAAAAGAGGGACTTCTCCCTAACTCATTTTTTGAGGCCAGCATCATCCTCATACCAAAACCTGGCAGAGACACAACAGAAAAATAAAATTTCAGGCCAATATCCCTGATGAACATCGATGCGAAAATCCTCTATAAAATACTGGCAAAATGAATCCAGCAGCACATTAAAAAGCTTATCCACTACAATCAAGTTGGCTTCATCCCTGGGATGTAAGGTGGGTTCAACATACAGAAATCAATAAATGTAATTCATCACATAAACAGAACCAATTACAAAAACCACAAGACGGGGTTAGTTTTGACAATTCCAAGCTAACTCCTTAGAAATGCATATCCTCCCTTCCCATAGCCTTTACAGATTACACACAGTGGAGAGGAGTGGTAGTATAGGTTTCCCATGGAGGCCCCAGGGAAATTTGCTCAAATTCTGTGCTAACCAGCTCTTATGCCCAGTGACTCTCCCCAAGGGGAATTTTACACAGAACCTTTGCAATGGAGCCCAAGCTTATTTGATTCAGCTCATCCTAGATAAGATAGTTTGAGCATTGATCACTTGGGATGGACCGGCTCTTTAGCATGGAAATAACACTCTCAGACGAAATGCCACATCACCAGGTTTTAGCCTTGGTTTTCAAGCAAGAGCTTAAAACCAAAGAAGCTGCTCTCTTCATCTGGACACCGCCTTCCAAAATTCATGACTGACTCTTTGGCTAGTGCCATATCACCTGAGGGAATCTCATCATTAAGTACTTACAGCCCTAAAAAGAAATGTGACATTCATTTCCATCCCATCCAAAATATTTGGTCTCAGAAAGACTGGTAAAATCAATATTTGTTTAAAAGAAGAGGATAACATTTCTGGGTGGTTCTGTAATCTCAAGATGTGGTACAGAGCTACTCAGGAAATAATCTGCAAATGAAATAACAGAAAAGAATTTCCTGAGTGTCATTTTAAAAGGCTTCAGGCTAATAAGAGCCAAATTCATCCTTTGATATTTTCGAGCTTACTGGGTAAATAACTTATACATTTCCCATAATAATTATATGCACGTTATTGGTGTGCCTCTAAGTCTGAGCTATTTTGCAGATTTGCACCAGAGTCTGAGAAAGCCGTATCAGAGCAACAGCATCCTAGCTAGCTCCTGGGCTCTGTATTGACCCTACACATGGAGTAGCTGCGGTGGTGTCTGTTTCAGAAGGCTAAACTGATATTCCATCTGACTTCTGCTTAAATGGTATTATTTTTCTTGTTGTTCTTTCCTTTGAGTTTGTTTTATATCTTTTCCTCTAGCCAAGTGAAGGGAAAGACAATAATTTCTTTCCTCTTATAATTTCTTTCCTCTTGCAAAAGGTCTTAAAGGTAGAATATAGAAAACATCTTCATTTAATATTTTTAAGCTCAAGGGCTTGAAGGGTAAAAAGTCGAAGGCAGATCATAAATAAGCAGGCCTTTAAAGGTGCAAATATCATCGTAGAATGAGTTTTCATTTTTGTACATTCTTTTCCATCTACTGAAGTAGATATGGACTTATTTGACCATGCAGTGACAGTGATAAGCAATGACTGGACAGGAAGAGGTGGGGGAGGTAGGGCCACCGAGCAACCATCATAATAATGCCAGCCTCAACAACAATACTCTAAGTGTGTCTGTTTTTGTTTTTTGGTAAAAATTTTATGTATTCAAAGCAGCTGTACAATTTTAATAGTGACATTTCCTCAAGGTAGCATTTTATGGGAAGCTCATTGAATACTTTCTCATAGTAGAAATATGATTAATGTGGTTATAGTCCTTAGTCCTACCTTCTACGTAGATAATAAAACATTGATATTAAAATGTAATAAAGAAAATGATGAAACTAAAACCACCACTTAATAATCATATGACCAAGCCCATGGAAAACAATAATTTCACAGATGGAAGGTCAAATTAATTTCAACCAAATGTTTCAGTGCCAACTAGATGTCTGAAGATGAATAGACCATAATATGTTTTTACAGAATGCCTGTTTTTATTTTCAATTTTACACACACAGTGTCCTGTTTTTACAGTAGCCAAGCTAGCAGTGTGATCTTTGGGAATATATGAACTGCTTTAGTCCTCTGCTTTATGGGCACTAAGCCAACGTTACTTTATTTTTGGTGTCTCTCATTTCAATTTCAATTATTGACCATCCTTTTTAGAAAAAAATTCCTTCATTTGAAGCTACAGTGAAAAGGATGGTTCCTTTGTTTTTTTACATCAGCCAACATAGGGTCTTCATTGGTAAATATGGATCTTTGTGTACAAGTGGAGAAGTGCATGGGAAGGGTGGTCCCTCAAGGCACTCATGGATAGAAAAAAGCCCAGCTTTCCAGTGAACTCAGTTATTTTAGTCTCTGAAGTGCAGCTTTCATTTATCTAATCTTTGGACTACCTCAGAGAAAATCATATTATCATTTTCAGCCTGAAACCCTCAATGGACCTAAACTCTACTTTTCTTTCCTATCTAGCTCCTCAACCCTGAATCATGGAGACCTCAGATACCTGCCTTCATATTCCTTTTTTTCTTCTCTTTTATCATCACTGTACTTCTTGTCTAACTCTACTCTTATTTTGGAACTGGGTTTGTGGACAGAGCCCCCAAATTGACAATGATTTCAGCTTGGGGAGGCCTTTCAGGATTTAATAATAAGTGACATTAACATAGACATTCTGTAATTCCTCCATTCCCAGTGACTCCTTGGTTTTAAAATTATTATTCCCACTTTGCAGATGACAAAAATCAGGTTGAGAAAGGTTGAGTAATCTATTAAAGTCAGGCAGTTTGTAAGGGTATAAGGCTGAACTTAAGTTCATGGTGCCTGACTGCAGATTCTTTGCCTTTTCCACAAAATCTAGTAGCTTGTAAGGGATAGAGTAAATTCCAGTACTTGAAATATAATTTAATGAAGTATGCCCAATGACTGATCTTCTCCTTTACTCATCCTCCACTTTCCAAATGTTTTCACCTCATAATCCTAGCTTCTTCCTCCAGTGCTTTCAGGTCCAGCCACAGACTTTATAACTTGCAATACATTTCTAAAAATTCTCCAGTGCACCTAACGTAAAGCCTCCTTGGTCTTTGGTTTAAGTCAGTCTCAATCCTTGGCTGCACATTAGAATAATCTGGGAAAGTTGAAGAACTATAGATGCCTGAATCTTGCTCTAATTCAATTAGAATCTCAGGGCTTTGCATTTTTTGGAAAGCTCCCCTGTGATTCTGATACAAAGTAAATGTGACAACCATGGCTTTGGAGTATCCAGGGAGCAACATCAAAGTCCCACCATCCACAAGCCTATAGGAGTCATTTTTATTTCCCTCATCTACAAACCCTGAAGTCTCCTAACATTGTTATACTCACAGTACTTTTACGCTCACATCTGTTAGAACCCAGAACTGTTCACAAAAGACCAATATTATAAGCCCTTCCCAAATATATGCTTATTTCTGAGGCTCCCCCAAAAGCTCAGAGGTCCTGTTGGGCCTCTGAAGTTTCACCACCCAGAATCCATGGAAGTCCAGTCCCAGGCTCCATCATAGAATCAGTTTCAATTCTTGCCTGATTGAAACTCCTTCAGACTCTAAAACATCCACATTAGAGGCCTTTAGATCTCACTTCCGTCCTTTCTTCATCAATGTTTCCAAAGGACCAGAATCCAAATCCAGAATTTATCAATTATTATTTTTTAATCAAACTACAAGTTTTATTTAGATTTCGTGTTTCCACTAATGTCCTTTTTCTTTTCTTGGATCCAATCCAGGATATTAAATTTCCTTTAACCAGTAAAATAATGGTGATGATGATAATTATTATTAAATGTCTACTTTTTACTTTGTAATTTTTTAAAAAATTATTTTTTAATTGACAAATAATAATTGTACATATTCATGGGGTACATGGTGACGTTTCAAGATGTATAATGTGTAGTGATCTTTCACTTGTAATCCTTTCAGTCGGCTGTTTATCCCATCCTTTCTACTTATTTCTTGGTCACTCAATATTCAATATTTTTAGAACAACTTCTGTGTGCTAAGCTCTAGGTATGTAATGATGATCCAAAAAGATGAGATCTTTTTCTAACAAGACTATAATTACTGCCTTTGAGAGACTTGTATTCATTCTGCATTCTAGTATTATTTATTAAGGCTGATTTGCTGTTCAGGTTTTTTTTTTTTGCCAGATTGATCTTATATAAAAATATGCATAAGTGGGGATCTTATACTTTTCTTCTTCCTGTAATCCAAATATCATTTTCCTCAGACACATTTGCAATTGAATTAACAGACTCTTCACTGTAGCTACCATTCTTTCACCTTTTCCCCATTAAATATGGTGCTAGCTGTGGGCTTGTCATGTATGGCCTTTATTGTGTTGAGGTACACGCCTTCTATACCTAATTTGGTAAGAGTTTGTAATAATGAAAAGATGCTGAATTTTGTGAAATACTTTTTCTGCAGCTATTGAGATGATCATATGATTCCTGTCCTTCATTCTGTTAACGTGATATAGCACCTTTATTGATTTGGCTATGTTAAAACACTCTTGCATCCCAGGAATAAATCCCACTTGATCATGCTGTATGGTCCTTTTAATGTGCTGTTGAATTTGGTTTGCTAGCATTTTGTTGAAGATTTTCTGCATCTATTTTCAGGAGGGTTATTGGCTTATAGTTTTCTTTTTTCATATATCTTTGTCTGGCATTAATGTTAGCATAATGCTGGCTTTGTAAAAATAAGTACAGAAGTGTTCTTTCCCATTCCATTTTTGGGAAAGGTTTGAGAAACAGTATTATTAATTCTTCTTTAGCTGTTGATAAAATTAAACAGCAAAGCCATCAAATCTTGAGCTTTTTTTTTGATGGGAGTGTTTTGATTGCTTATTTAGTCTCCTTACTCATCATTGATCTGTTCAAATTTTCTATTTTTTATGATTAATTCTTGATAGGTTGTATGTGTCTAGGAATTTATTCATTTCTTCTAAATTATTCAATTTATTGACACACATAGTATCAAAAAAGAATGGACATACTTAGGATTAAATTTAATCCGGGAGTTGAATAATCTGTACACTGAAAACTAAAACATTAATGCAAGGAATTAAAAAAGACACAAATAAATGGCAATACATTCCTAGTTCATGGAACAGATAAATTAGTATTGCCAAATGACCATATTACCCATGATAATCTACAGATGTAATGCAGTCCTGGTGGGAATGTAAATTGGAAGAGTCATTGTGGAAAATAGCATGGAGGCTCCTCAGAAAACTAAAAATAGAACTACCATGTGACCCAGCAATCCCACTTAGGCATATATTCAAAGGAAACGAAATCACTATCTCGAAGAAGTATCTTTACTCCCATACTTATTGCAGCATTATTCACAATAGCCAAGATATGGAAACAACCTAAGTGCCCTTCAATGAATAAATAGATAAATAAATTGTGATATATAAATATATATGTACACACACAGACACACACACACACACATTTTTCAGCCTTCCAAAGAAGGGAATCCTGCCATTTGTGACCACATGGATGAAAATGGAGGACACTAAGCTAAGTGAAATAAGCCAGACATAGAAAGAAAATTGCTACATGATCTCACTTTTATGAGGAATCTAAAAAAGACTAACTCACAAAAACAGAGAGTAGAAGAGTTGTTACTAAGGGACTGGAGGTTAGGGGGAAGTGATATGTTGGTCAAAGGGTGTAAACTTGAAGTTATAAAATGAATAAGTTCTAAAGACCTATTACATCATGAGGATATAGTTAATATTTTATTGTATACTTGAAAGTCACTAAGAGAGTAGATCTCAAGTATTCTCGCCACACAAACACACACACAAAAGTAACTGTGTGAAGGAATGGATATGCTAATTAGCTTGATTTTGAAAATCATTTCAATATATACATATATCAAAACATCACATTATATATCTTGAATATAAACAATTTTTGTCAATTTTACCTCAATAAAGCTGATAAAAGACATTTGCTATTTAAAATACAGTATTAAAAATGGAAAAGGTAAGACACGAATTGGGAGAAAACAATTGACAAACATACAAATCCAACAAAGGACTTATATCCAGAATATATAATAAGCTCTTACAACTGAATAATTAGCTGAAAATCCAATAAAAATGGGCAAAAAATTTAAACACATACTTCACCAAAAATGATGTATAGATACCAAATGAGTATATTAAAATGTGTTTAGTGTCATTAGTTATTATGGAGATACAAATTAAAACCACAGTTAAATACCCACCATATCGGCTAAGATTAAAATCTTGATCACACCAAGTGATGAAGAAAATGTAGAACAACTGGAACTCTCATAACTTCTGGTAGAAATGTAGAATATTACAACTGATTTGAAAATAGTTTAGAAGTTTCTCAGAGTTAACTGTACATCTACCATATGACCCAGCCATTATATTCTTTGTATTTGCCCAAAATAATTAAAGCAAATTTACAAATGAAGACTTGTACATTGATGTTCATAGCAGCATTCTTCATAATAGCAAAAAAAGTGAAAACTTCCCAAATGTCCATAAACAGACGAATAGACAAAATTCAATACATCCATACAATGGATTATTATTCAGCAATAAAATAGCAATAAAGTACTGATACCTGCTACAACATGGAAGAACCTTGAAGATATTTTGCTAAGAGAAGAAAGCCAGTCACAGAAAACATACATTGTAGAATTCCATTTATTCAAAAAGTCTAGAAAAAAACAAATCAAATGTTCCTGCCTGCCAGGGCTGAAGAAAGCAACAGATCTCCCAGCACAGCACTTGAGCTCTGCTAAGGGACAGACTGCCTCCTCAAGTGGGTTCCCGTGCCTCCTGACTGGGAGACACTTCCCAGCAGGGGTCAACAGACACCTCATACAGGAGAGCTCCAGTTGGCATCTGGCAAGTGCCCATCTGGGATGAAGCTTCCAGAGGAAGGATCAGGCAGCAATCTTTGCTGTTCTGCAGCCTCTGCTGGTGATACTCAGGCAAACAGGGTCTGGAGCGGACCTCAATCAAACTCCAGCAGACTTGCAGAAGAGGGGACTGACTGTTAGAAGGGAAACTAACAAACAGAAAGCAGTAACATCAACATCAACAAAAAAGGATGCCCACACAAATACACCATCGAAAGGTCATGTGCATCAAAGATCAAATGTAGACAAATCCATGAAAATGAGGAAAAACCAGAGTGAAATGTGAAAATTCCAAAAACCAGAATGCCTCCTCTCCTCCAAAGGAACACAGCTCCTCACCAGCAAGGGAACAAAACTGGACAGAGAATTAGTTTGACAAATTGACAGAAGTAGGCTTCAGAAGGTGAGTAATAACAAACTCCTCCGAGCTAATGGAGCATGTTCTAACCCAATGCAAGGAAGCTAAGAAACCTGATAAAATGTTACACAAACTGCTAAATAGAATAACCAGTGTAGAGAAGAACATAAATGACCTGATGGAGCTGAAAAACACAGCACGAGAACTTCGTGAAGCATACACAAGTATCAATAGTTGAATCGGTCAAGCAGAAGAAAGGATATCAGAGATTGAAGATAAACTTAATGAAATAAAGCATGAAGACAAGATTAGAGAAGAAAGATGAAAAGGAATGAACAAACCCTCCAGGAAATATGGGACTATGTGAAAGGACCAAACCTATGATTGATTGGTGTACCTGAAAGTCATGGGGAGAGCGGAATCAAGTTGGAAAACACAATTCAGGATATTATCCAGAGAACTTCCCCAACCTAGAAAGACAGGCCAACATTCAAATTCAGGAAATACAGAGAACACCACAAAGATACTCCCAGAGAAGAGCAATCCCAAGACACATAATTGCCAGTTTCATCAAGGTTGAAATAAAGGAAAAAATGTTAAGGGCAGCCAGAGAGAAAGGTCAGGTTACCCACAAAGGGAAGTCTTCAGACTAATAATGGATCTCTCTGCAGAAACCCTACAAGCCAGAAGAGAGTGAGGGCCAATGTTCAACATTTTTAAGAGAGAATTTTCAACCCAGAATTTCATATCCAGCCAAACTAAGCTTCATAAGTGAAGGAAAAATAAAATCCCTTACAGAGAAGCAAATGCTGAAGGATTTTGTCACCACCACCAGACCTGCTTTACAAGAGCTCCTGAAGGAAGCACTAAATATGGAAGAAAAAACCAGTATCAGCCACTGCAAAAACAAACCAAAATGTAAAGTCTATCGATGCTCTGAAGAAACTACATCAACTAATGGGCAAAATAACCAACTAACATCATAATGACCAGATCAAATTCACACATAACAATATTAACCTTAAATGTAAATGGGCTAAATGCCCCAATTAAAAGGCACAGACTGGCAAATTGGACAGAGTCAAGACCCATTGGTGTCCTGTATTCATTAGACCCATCTCACGTGCAAAGACACATAGGCTCAAAATAAAGGGATGGAGGAAGATTTACCAAGCAAATGGAAAGCAAAAAAAGCAGGGGTTCCAATCCAAGTCTCTGATAAAACAGACTTTAAACCAACAAAGATCACAAGAGACAAAGAAGGGCATTACATAATGGTAAAGGGATCAATATAACAAGAAGAGCTAACTATCCTAAACATATATGCACCCAATACAGGAGCACCCAGATTCATAAAGCAAGTTCTTAGAGACCTACAAAGAGACTTAGACTCACACACTATAATAGTAGGAGACTTTTATACCCCACTGTCAATATTAGACAGATTAATGAGACAGAAAAAAACAAGGATATTCAGGACTTGAACTCAGCTCTGGACCAAGCAGACCTAATAGGCATCTACAGAACTCTCCACCCAAAATCAGCAGAATATACAGTCTTCTCAACACCACATTGCACTTTTTCTAAAATTGACCACATAATTGGAAGTACAACACTCCTCAGCAAATGTAAAATAATGGATATAATAACAAACTGTCTCTCAGACCACAGTGCAATCAAATTAGAAATCAGGATTAAGAAACACACTCAAAACCACAAAACTACACAGAAACTGAACATCCTGCTCCAGAATGACTATGGGTAAATAACAAAATTAAGGAGGAAATAATGAAGTTCTTTGAAACCAATGAGAACAAAGACACAATGAACCAGAATCTCTGGGATATATTTAAAGCAGTGTTTAGAGGGAAATTTATAGCACTAAATGCCCACATCAGAAAGTGGGAAAGATCTAAAATCGACACCCTAACATCACAATTAAAAGAACTAGAGAAGCTAGAGCAAACAAATTCAAAAGCTAGCAGATGATAAGAAATAACTAAGATCAGAGCAGAACTGAAGGAGCTAGAGACAAGAAAACCCCTTTGAAAAAATCAATGAATCCAGGAGCTGGTTTTTTGAATAGATTAACAAAATAGATAGACCACTAGCCAGACTAATGAAAAAAAAAAAGAGAAAAGCATCAAATAGACACAATAAACAATGATAAAGGGGATATCACAACCGATCCCACAGAAATACGAACTACCATCAGAGAATACTATAAACACCTTTACACAAATAAACTAGAAAATCTAGAAGAAATGGATGAATTCCTGGGCACATACACCCTCCCAAGACTAAATCAGGAAGAAGTCAAATCCTTGCATAGACCAATAACAAGTTCTGAAATTGAGGCAGTAATTAATAGCCCACCAACCAAAAAAACCCCAGGTCCAGGTGGATTCACAGCCAAATTCTACCAGAGGTACAAAGAGGAGCTGGTACCATTTCTTCTGAAACTATTCCAAACAATAGAAAAAGAGGGACTCCTCTCTAACTCATTTTTCGAGGCCAGCATCATCCTGATACCAAAACCTCACAGAGACACAACAAAAAAAGAAAATTTCAGGCCAATATCCCTGATAAACATTGATGCAAAAATCCTCAATAAAATACTGGCAAATTGAATCCAGCAGCACATCAAAAAGCTTATCCCCACGATCAAGTCGGTTTCATCCCTGAAATGCAAGGCTGGTTCAACATACGCAAATCAAAAAATGTAATCTATCATATAAACAGAACCAATGACAAAAACCACATATTATCTCAATAGATGTAGAAAAGGCCTTCAATAAAATTCAATGTCCCTTCATGCTAAAAACACTCAGTAAACTAGGTATTGATGGAATATATATCAAAATTTAAAAAGCTGTTTATGACAAATGCACAGCCAATATCAAACTGAATGGGCAAAAGCTGGAAGCATTCCCCTAGAAAACTGGCATAAGACAAGGATGCCCTCCCTTACCACTCCTATTCAACATAATATTGGAAGTTCTGGCTAGCGTAATCAGGCAAGAGAATGAAATAAAGGTATTCAAATAGGAAAAGAGGAAGTCAGGTTGTCTCTGTTTGCAGATGACATGACTGTATATTTAGAAAACCCCGTTATCTCAATGCATAAACTCCTTAGGCTGATAAGCAACTTCAGCAAAGTCTCAGGATATAAAATCAATGTGCAAAAATCATAAGCATTCCTATACACCTATACAACAATAATAGATAAACAGAGAGCCAAATGATGAGTAAACTCCTATTCAAAATTGCTACAAAGAGAATAAAATACCTAGGAATACAATTTACAAGGAATGTGAAGGACCTCTTCAAGGAGAACTACAAACCACTGTTCAAGGAAATAAGAGAGGAATCAAACAAATGGAAAAACATTCTATGCTCATGGCTAGGAAGAATCAATATTGTGAAAATGGCCACACTGCCCAAAGTAATTTATAGATTCAATGCTATCCCCATCAAGCTACCATTGACTTTCTTCACAGAATTAGAAAAAAAACTACTTTAAATTTCATATGGAAGCAGAAAAGAGCCTGTATATCCAAGACAATCCTAAGCAAAAATAACAAAGCTGGAGGAATCATGCTACCTGACTTCAGACTATACTACAAGTCTACAGTAACCAAAACAGCATGGTACTGGTACCAAAACAGATATATAGACCAATGGAACAGAACAGAGGCCTCAGAGATAACACTACACATCTACAACCATCTGATCTTCCAGAAACCTGATAAAAACAAGCAATGGGGAAAGAGTTCCCTATTTAATAAATGGTGTTGAGAAAACTGGCTAACCATATGCAGAAAACTGAAACTGGACCCTTTCCTTACACCTTATACAAAAATTAACCCAAGTTGGATTAAAGACTTAAATGTAAGACCTAAAACCCTCAAAGAAAACCTAAGCAATACCCTTCAGGACATAGGTATGGGCAAGGACTTCATGACTAAAACACCAAAAGCAATGGCAACAAAAGCCAAAATTGAAAAATAGGATCTAATTAAACTAAAGAGCTTCTGCATAGCAATAGAAACTATCATCAGAGTGAACAGGCAACCCACAGAATGGGAGAACATTTTTGCAATCTATCCATCTGACAAAGGGCTAATATACAGAATCTACAAGGAACTTAAATTTAAAAGAAAAAAACAACTCCATCAAAAAGTGGGGGAAGGATAGAACAGACACTTCTCAAAAGAATACAATTATGCAGCCAACAAACATATGAAAGAAAGCTCATCATCACTGGTCATTAGAGAAATGCACAACAAAACCACAATGAGATACCATCTCACGGCAGTTAGAATGGCAATCATTAAAAAGTCAGGAAACAATAGATGCCGGAGAGGATGTGGGGAAATAGGAATGCTTTTACACTGTTGGTGGGAGTGTAAATTAGTTCAACCATTGTGGAAGACAGTGTGGCAATTCCTCAAGGATCTAGAACCAGAAATACCATTTGACCCACCAATCCCATAACTGGATATATATCCAAAGGATTATAAATTATTCTACTATAAAGACACATGAATATGTTTACTGAAGCATTATTAACAACAGCAAAGACTTGGAACCAACCCAAATGCCCATCAATGATAGACTGGATAAAGAAAATTTGGCACATATACACCATGGAATACTATGCAGCCATAAAAAAGGATGAGTTCATGTCCTTTGGAGGGACATGGATGAAGCTGGAAGCCATCATTCTCAGCAAACTAACCAAGAACAGAAAACCAAACACTGCATATTCTCACTTTTAAGTGGGATTTGAACAATGAGAACAGATCAATACAGGGAGAGGAACATCACACACCCAGGCCTGTCAGGGGGTTGGGGTGAGGGAAGGGATAGCATTGGAAGAAATACTTAACGTAATAATTGACTGATGGATCAGTGCAGCAAACCACCGTGGCACATGTATACTATGTAACAAACCTGCACGTTCTGCACATGTATCCCAGTACCTAAAGTGTAATTTAAAAAAAAAAGAAAAAACAAATCCATAGAAATAGAAAAGTGGATTACTTGCATAGGGCTGAGAATTGTGACATGGGAGAGTGGGGATTGGGCAGTGACTGCTAATAGGTATGGGGTCTCTTTTTAGGATGATGAAAATATTTAAATATCAGACTGTGGTGATGGTTACACATCTCTGTGAGTATACTAACAAATATTGGATTGTATATATAAAATGGATGAATTGTATAGTATATAAATTATACATGAATATATTTCTTTTAAAACGTTAAATATACATCTACCACATAACCCAGCCATTCTATCCTATACAGTTATCCCAAAGAATGAAAGCATAATTTCAAAGAAAGAACAGTACATAAATATTCTTAGTAGCATTATTTATAATAGCCAAATCTGAAAATAATTCAAATGTCCATAAAAAGAAGAATGGATAAACAAGTTGTAGAATATTCATAGAATGTACTACTACTCAGAAACAACAAGGAACAACTATTAACACCTGCAACAACTTGGGTGGAAATCAAGATAATTTTCCAGAGCATAAAAAGCTAGACAAAATAGATGATGTACTATATGATTTCATTCACATAAAATTATAGAAATGCATTAATCAATAGTAATAGTAAACATAACCTTAGTTCCTGGGTACAAATATGGGAGGAATAATTAATTATAAAATGGCATAAGGGAACTTTTAAGAGTGATGAAATCTTCATTATCTTGATTGTGGCAATAGTTTTGCAGTGTAGATATGTCAAAACTCACCAAATGGTATATTTTAAATATGTGTGTTGTGCTATATAAAAAATATATTTTAGTAAGGCTATATACACATTTAATTATAAAGGTAAAAACAATGCCCTGTTGATTAGTTCAACATATAATTAGAAGTTATTTGACAAAACCTGACAGCCATTTATGATTTTAAAAGGATAGATAGAGAAATATCCCATCACAATAATCATTGCAGCAGAGACAATGTTTATGTTTATCAGACTGTTTTTCCCCTTTTTATCTTCTTCGGCCTAGAAGAAGGCTTCATTTCACAGCTTTTGCTGGGTCAAGATATGTGACTAGTTTTAGACGATGGAATATGCACAAAAATAATGTGTGTTATTTTTAGACCAACAACCAAGTATTTTCCCATGACTATCTTTTCTCAACTCCTGGAAAAATGCTGACGATCCAGTGGATGACTCCAAGGCAGAGGCACAGATGGATATAGCCTGGGTCTTGGCATCCCTTTAGGAAAAGCTGCTCTCCATACTGGAATGGACTATGGTGTGAGCAAGAGGCAAGCTCTTATTCTGCTAAGTCACTGGGAATTTGAGTTTGTTGTTACAGAAGTTAGCCTTCCCTGATTGATACAGATATCAAAGAGTCAAAATACGTAAGAATAAATGCAGCAGAAAATATAATAAAATACAATAGTTTACAATATAAGGGAGGACTAAAGTAAGTATAAACATACACTATATTTTTTCAAAGGACAACTTACATTGCCAATTTATAAATAACTTATAAATTAATCTATAAATTTCTACTCAAAGTAAAGTTCATCTAGAAAAGTAAGTATGTGTCAATATTCAGGGAATTTATTAAAAGAAGAAAAATGGGTACATTGGCTATATCAGACATTGAAGCTTATTAAGCTATTTGAAAAAATCAGGAATATATATATATATATCCAGAAAACCAAGAAACATAAAGTCTATACTGAAACTTAAGAGGTTACAATAATGGAAATTTGAGAGTAGAGATAAAATATATATCCAGACAAAGTAATGTATATAAAGCCCACAAAAAGGATTTTTTTAAAATGATAAATATGGTAGGTAAATTAGCATTGGGAAAAGGAGGTCAATAGAGTTAAAACAGCTAGATAATTATTTGGGACAAAAATAAATCTAGACTTTCTATTTTATTCTTTGTAACAAAATTCAGCTTAAATTTTTAAAAAATTTAATTGTAAAAAGTTAAATTCAAGTTTTAGAATGATAAATGAGAAAATGTATTTTTGAGGAAAGCTTATAAAAAAGAGCCCAAAATCCAAAAAAATTGAAAAATTTAAATATTCAAAAATTCTGTATGTCATAAATAACATGAGTTAAAAGAAACAAAACTGTGAAAAATAGTTCCAAAAATATGGCAATAAACTAAATTTATTCTTTGCAAGAAGCTCATACCTATTGAATAAAGAAAATGGTCAATTGACAGCAAATGAAAATAAATTGCTGATAAAATATAAAATATTCCCAGTCTTACATATAATTAAATAAGTAAAAATCAAAACAAAAAGACTTTTTCTCTCAGATTGGTATAACTTAATTTTCTTATGCTGGGGAAAACTGTGGAAAAATATTCCCTTATACACTACTTGAATTAGTGTTAATTTTGCACTTTTCAAAGGATAATTTATAAATGTTTATTTTAAAATATCTATATCTGTACTCTTTGATCCAGAAAATTCTGCTCTACAAATTTGACCAATAAAATAAAAAATCACAAAATTATTCTGTATTGTAAGAATAAGAATGCTATTGCAACAGTATTTTAAATAGCAAAATACTGTCTATAACCTAAATGTCATTTAATACATTTGTTAATACATTTATTATATTAATTGAATGGAATATATATACAATGGATTAGACTTGAATATAATGATATGAAAAGTTTAGAATGAAAGTGCAAACTTCTTCTTCTGACTATAATAGAATAACAGGGAACATATTTTCCCTCTGTTCTTAAACAATTAGAAAATTGGACAAAACATATGAAACAGTAGTTTTCAGACATTGGACCACAGGCCACATATGACTGTAATCCTTGAGAGAAGGTAAATGAATGAGGTTGGTGAATTTTATGAGTTCTTATTTTCTCTCTGGAGGTAATTTCTATCTTGCCATGCAGGGAGGGGGAACCTAAATAGAGCCTGGAGGTTTCACTGAGTTCAGGAGACAGATATTATATTTTGAGAAGGTCAAAGTGGTTAGAATTTACTGTCAGGGTGCCAGAGAGAAAGGAGCCACACAGAGACAGAGCTTCATAGTCTGTAGTGGAGTGCATTTAAGTGTTTGGCTAAATTCTAATCTGTACATGTATGTGAAGAAGACTGCTCAAGACTAGGGAAAGAACACCCAGAAAGCAGTAGGCTTAACAAGTCTTGGAGCTCAGGACTGAGGAATGTTTGTGATTCCAGCAGCAAAGTAATAACGTATCTTAATATGCAGGGTATTTGGTAGATCTTCAATAAGCATTGCCTTATTACTTTTGCTAAAATATCCTAGACTAAAAATTGCACTGTGACTGACCTAATAAACCTTGTAAGCAAGCCTCAAAAGGATCCTATTGATTTCAAATAACATCATGCCACAATAAAGTAAAATATTATTATAGAAATACAAAAAAACTCTAGGATCCAAAATGCAACATTCAAAATGTGTTATCCAATAAAATATTACCAGACATGCAAAGAAGCAGAAAAATATGACCTATAATGAGAAACATTAATCAACACAGACCCAATTATAACACAAATAATAAAATTAGCAGAGAAAAATATTAAAGCAGATATTATAAATATGCTCTACATATTTAACATAGAAGAAAGTGGCACATGATGAGAAGTGGAAAAAGGTAAAAAAAAAAAAAAAGACCCAAGTAGAACTTCTACAGGTAAGAAATAGTTTAGATAGTATATTATTATAGTTTGGTAGGGCTACCATAACAAAGTACCACAGGCTGGGGTGCTTAAACGGTAGTTTATTTTGTCGTGATCCTTAAGTCTAGAAGCTTTAATAACAAGGTGTCAGTAGGGTTGGCTTCATTCTGAGACCTCTCTCTCCTTGGTTTTGTACATGGCTGTCCTCTGGTATCATCACATGGCTTTCCCTCTGTGTCTTAATCTCCTTTTTTATAACAGTACCAGTCATATTGTAATGAGGTCCATGAGCTCATATAACCATAATTACCTGTTTAAAGACCCTATTGCCAAATAAAGTCACATTCTGAGATACCTAGGGGTTTAGACTTCAACATATGAATTTTAGGGGTGACATAATTCAGCCCATAACAGATGGGATTAGCAAGAGATTAGACACTGCAGAAGAAAAGATCAATGAATTTGAAGTCATAAGAGTAGAAACTATTCAAAATAGCACATATTGGGCAAAATTGACTGCAAAAAAAAGAACACAGCATTAAGTGAGTGGTGGAATAAAATCAATCTGTTTAACTTATATAATTTGATGGGGGGCATAGAAAAAATTACTTGAAGAAATAATAATTATAATTATTTAAAATTTGTTGAAAACTATAAACCCTGAGGTCAAAAAAACTCAATGCACCTGAGCAGAAGAAACCACACCAAAAATTATAATCAAATTGCTGAAAAAAATTGCCAAAAAAATATTGAAAACAGACAGAAAAGAAAGAATGTTACGTACAGGTAAATAAACCGCAAATGACTTTTTGCCAAAAACTTTGTAAGACGGAAGACAAGGTAAGGACATTTTTAGAATACGGAAAGAACAAAAAAATTTCTCAACATAAATCTCTGTATTCAGTAAAAGTATCTCTCAAAAATGAAGGTAGATACAGATATTTTTAGACAAAAGAATTAATCACCACCAAACCTGCACTACTATTAACTTAATGGTAAAAATCAATGATACCAGATGGAAATTTGGGTTGATACAAAGGAATGACTAGCACTAGAAATTTTAAATCTGTGGGTATATATAAAAGACATTCTTCTCATTTTAATTTCTTTAACCAATAATTGATTATTTTAAACAAAGTAATAAAACTCTATAACATCTGAAGAAACAACATATGACAACAACAAAAAATGACATGATGAAGAAAATACACATATGTGGCTTTTTTATTATTTGATGTAGACTGTAATATGTGAAAGCTGTATAGTAAATCTTAGAGCAACTATTAAAGGGGTAAGACAGAGAGATATATGCTAATAAGCCAATAGCAAAGGTTAAAAAATATCAAAGTACAAAAGGGTGTATTTTTTTTAGAGAAATGCTGTTTCTGAATTTCAAAAATATTAACTGTTGTTATATTTAGGGCCAACAACCTAGTGGAGGAGAGAGAAGTAGTTTTACATTTTCCTTATATACATTAAAAATTATATACATTTCATTATATTTTTATATGAATGTATTAGTTTTAAATTTATTAATTCTTAAAATGACAGCTGGACTTATTGGCCATTTTGTTTCATTTTGTTTTTACTTTTCTAACTTAAAAACAAATAATTGTCATTATTAAAATAATGATCCATCTTACAACATATCTTACACTTTTACAATCATAGTTTAACAAAGGCATAATTATAATTCTACTTTAAATGTTAAAATTCTATGCCACTTATGAATAAATTTACTTGAATAAATCTTTACTTTTATTCTTATTTTTGGTCTTCTACATATTGCCTTTTTTTTTTTACTAAATATCCAAATGTAAAATAATTTAAAAGATCACTTGTGAAATATAACTGGATTACAAAATACTATTTGTTGATAAAACACAATAAAATTAGAGTTAAACAAAATCCACTGAATTACACATGAAATATCCATTTACCATTCTGAAGCCACTATTTTTGGGAAAACACGTGTTTTGAGATGACCAGCATGAAGCCTTCCAAGAAGTGTTTAATAAACAAGAGTCTGTCCCATTTCAGCATCTATTAAGTCAGAGAAGAGCCAGGATGGAGACTCTGAAATCTAAATGCCACTCTAATGGAATGAATATTATTCTGGGCATATTTCCTGCCTTAATGCCACATTTAATTTAGATTAATGTTTCTGTTTCATTTACACATCTACAATAAAGTATAAGGTCGTAATACAAAGAGGTGGTATTTGGTTTGTTGCAATACATTATAATAAGCAAATTTTTATGATGAGTTTATCATCGTGTGGTTGCAAATGGAAATAAGCATGTGAGATGTTATTTTAACAGAGCAAGGTATGCATGCCCTGTCATTAAATAAGTAGATTAATAAATTGCAAAGGAACCTTAATTTTTCTCTTTTCACAAAAATTCAAGATGCCCTTTTTTCCTCTTTATCTCTTATTCATAAGAGTGCTTAGAGAGATATGAATGGATGAAAGTTGTTTAGGCCTGTTTTTGGACCTCCTTCCTGAGTCAAGTTCTGAGGGGAGAAAATTAAAAAGAATAAAGGGTGTTAAGAAGTTCTAGAAAAACACTAGAATAAATATAAAGTTGACTTTATCTAAGTAAAGACTCTCTTCGAGCAGGAATTTCATATCATAGTCTCACCTACTTCCCCCAGAAGCATAAGAGAAGCATTTAAGTTGGGGTGAGGGTAAAATGGGTGGAAAGTCGTAAGTTAATTATACATTTATGTTGCATCTTTTGCAAATATACCCTCTAAGTATAATATGTTCTTTTGCTCATTCATTTATTAATTTAATTATAAATTTATTTATGAAATATCTAATGTAATAAAGGACCTCATATACCACATTAGAAAGCTTACACTTTATTCTACAGGCAAGAGGTGGCTACTCATATGTTTAAAGCAGAAGCACTATATGGTCAAATTTGTTTTTCACAAAGTTAGTTTCATGGTGTTTTGGATGTTAGATGGGAAGAAGGTCATTCTAAACAAAGAGAAACAGAATGTTGCAGTTTTCTATTGGAAAATAATTAGCCCTTATAGCTAGATAGTACCAGTACAGGTAGAAAGAAATAAATTCAAGAAATATTTCGGAGTTTAAAGCAACAGGGAATTTAGGAGAATGGGTGAAATCGGGAAGGTAGATGTGAAATACAGAGGATCAAAGATCAGTTTTGGTTTTGAGGAATGGCACACTGGATGGATGATGAGCTTTTCACTATGACAGCAAAGATAAAGAGAAGAGAAAGTTTAGTAGGGAAAAGAACATAGTTTTATACATATATACATGTATACATATGTATTCTAAAAGTCTATGGATTATTTATGTGGAGAAATCCAATGGGCAGTTATTAGTCATGATTATTTATTTTAAAAAACGATTTTTTTCTGATTTTAAAAGTAATATATGCTCTTTGTAGACACTTCTGTGGGAAAGTAGGAGAAAGGAGAAAATAAAAGTCATCTATAATCTCTCTATCTTGACATGGTAGCTTTTGGGATTAATGTTTGGAAGTATTTTTTTTCCATTGACTTTCTTTTCTTCACAAAATTGAGAAATAATTTTGTCTTGATTTTGTAATGAGAATTTCCCATGTAATTAAATATCTTTCCAAATGTGATATTTTAAAATGTTTTATTATTTACAAAAATTACATACAGTCAAAATCACTCATTTTCGTATGTGGTTCTATGAGCTTTGACAACTGCAGAGTTGCATAACTACCACCATAATCAAGACAGAGCAGTTCCCTCATCACTGCCCTCAAATTTTCATATATTTTGTTTTTGTTGTTTATCCGTTCCCCAGCCCTCAAAACCTCAAAACTGGCAACCACTAATCTATTACTAACAAGTAATCATCACTATATTTTTCCTTTTCTATAATATCATATAATAAAATGATCTGAGATTCACTCACGTTGTTGCCTTTAATTGTCAAGTTTTTTTTTGCTGCTGATTAGCATTTTACTGTGTGAAGGTACCAGAGTTTGTTCATTCATTTGACAACTGAAGGACATTTGAGTTTCTTCCAGTTTTTGGCGACTATAAATAAAGCTGTTAAAACCTCCACACAGGTTTTTGTGTGAACATAAGCTTTAATTTATCTTGGGTAAATAGCTAGGAGTGAGATTGCTGTATCATAAATGTGCATCTACATTTGAATTTAAAACAAGCTGGCAAGCTATTTTCCAAAGTAGCCATAGCAGTTTACATTCTCACAAGCAAAGTATTAGCACTCTGGTTGTTCTGGATTCTCATCAGCACGTTGATATTCTCAGTATTTTTAAACCATTTAGAACCATTTCCATAGGTGTAATGGCATCCCATTGCGGTTTTAATAAGCATTTACTTGATGGCTGCCATTGAACATTTTTTTACATGCTTATTCGAATCCATACTTCTTTTGTGAAGTTTCTTTTCAAACATCTTTCCCATTAAAAAAATAGGCAGTTTGTTTTCTTATTATCGAATTTTCAGAATTCCTTATATAATATGGATTAAGATATGTGATTGGCAAATATTTTCTCCCAGTATGTGGCTTGCTTTTACTTAACAGGGCAAAGTTTATATTTTTAATGAGGTTAGTTTGTATATATTTTTTCTTTTTTAGTTTGCATTTTTGGTCTATCTAAAGTCTTTTTGTGTATAGTTAAAAAGTTTTTTTCTTGCACTTTTTTCTATGAGTTTTACAGTTTTAGTTTTTGCATTTAGGTCCATGTACTATTTTGTGTTCAATTTTGTATAAGGTATAAAGTATGTGTTGAGGTTCACTTTATTTTGCATATGTGTATGTAATTGTTTTAGCACCATTTGTATAATAGACTATCTTTTCTCCATTGAATTGACTTTGTACTTTTGTCTAAATCTATTGACCATATTAATATGGGTCTATTTCTGGACTCTCTATTCTATTTGATTGACCTCTGTGTCTATCCTTACTCCAATACCACAATGTCTATTACTGTGGCTTTTATAGTAAGTCTTGAAATTAAATCATCCTCTGTGTTTTTCTTTTTCAAAAAATTTTTGGTTCTTGTTCCTTTGCCTTTCCATATACATTGTGTAAACAGCTTACTAATATCTACAGAATAAATCTTTATTTTGTTTTTGAGACAGAGTCTCTCGCTCTGTTGCCCAGGCTGGAGTGCAGTGGTGTGATCTTGGCTCACTGCAACCTCTGCCTCCCAGGTTCAAGCAATTCTCTTGTCTCAGCCTCCCAAGTAGCTGGGACTACAGGTGCCTGCCACCATGCCCAGCTGATTTTTGTATTTTTAGTAGAGATGGGATTTCACCTTGTTGATCAGGCTGGTCTTAAACTCTTGACCTCAGGTGATTCACCCATCTCAGTCTCCCAAAATGCTGGGATTACAGGCATGAGCCACCACGCCTGGCCCAGAATAAATCTTACTGAGAATTTTTGCAATAAAGCTGTTGACCAATCTGGGAATAATTGGAATACTAAATACTTATATATTTAGTTCACCAATTCATGAACAACATGATTCATCATTCAATTATTTAAGTCTTTGATTCTTTCTTCAGTATTTTGTAGTTTTCAGGATGCTCATTCTAGACATATTTGATCTTGTATTTTCTGACTTTGCTAAACACACTAATTGGTAATAAGTGCTTTTTGCAGATTTTTAAATATTATTTTATGTAGAAAATTATTTCTGAGAATAAAGTATATTCCTCCTTTCCAATTTGTACATCTTTTATTTCTTTTTATTGTTTTATTGCACTGCCCAGGACTTTCAGTATAATGTTGAATAGGAGCAGTGAGAATGGACATCCTTGTCCTGTTCCTGATCCTGATCTTAGGGAAAAGACATCTGGACTTTTACCATTGAGTATCATATTAATTGTAATGTGTGTGTGTGTGTGTGTGTGTGTGTGTGTGTGTGTGTATTTTGGTAGATGACCTTTTTCAAACTAAGGAATTTATCTTGTCCTCATTTGCTAAGATCATGAATACATATTGAAGTTTTTAAAGCCTTTTCCTACATTTATTGAGATGATCTGTTTTTTAATCTTTAGAATGTTGGTATAGTGAATTACATTGATTAATTTTCAAATGTTGTACCAATCTTACATTTCCAGGACAAACCTCACTTAGCTGTGATGAATTATATTTTTCATACCTTTCTGGATTCAATTTGATATTATTTTGTTTAGGATTTTTGTGTGTCTGTTTACAAAGAATATTGGTTTATAGTTTTTTTTAATATCATTGTCTGGTTTTGGTATCAAGGTAATTCTGGCTTCATGAAATGATTTGGGAAGAGTTTCCTCTTATGATTTCTGGAAGTCATTGTACAGGACTGGGTTTATTTCATCCAGAAGTGTCTGCTAGAATTCATCAGTGAAACCATCTTGGCCTGTAGTTTTTTTAAAATTTTTTTGGAAAATGTTTATAAATTAAATATCTTTTATAGATATAGAGGTATTTAGGTTTTCTATTCCATTTTAAGTAAGATTAGGTAGTTTTTATCTTCCAAGAAATCGGTCTGCTTTATCCACATTGCCATTTTTATGTATGAGTTATTCATGGTTTTCTCTTATTCTCTCTTAAATGTCTGTGGTAATTTTACCTTTTTCATTTCTGATATTGGTAATTTGCAACTTATCTCTTGTTTCCTTGGTTATTCTTGCTAGTCATACATCTTTTCAAATAACCATCTATTGGTTTTATTGATTTTTTAAAAATTTTCTGTTTTCAAGATTATGGAATTTTGTTCTTGACCAGTTCCTTCTTTTTGTTTGCTTTGGTCTCCTTTCATGTGTTTTATTGTAGAAGTTTAGATTATAAGTTTCTTCTTTTCTAAAATAATCAGTGCTAATAAATTTCCCTTTAAACATTGCATTAGCTGCATTAATTTCATTGTTATTCGACTGTAAATATTTTCTTATTTTTATCACTTCCTTTTTGATCCATAGGTTTTTTAGAAGAACATAGTTCATTTTGAAATATTTGTGGCAATTTTCTGATATCTTTATGTAACTGAATTCTAGTTGAATTTATTCATGAACTGAGAATATTTGTTGTATGATTTTGATTTTTTATATTTGCTATGATTTGTTCTGTGGCCTATAATATGGTCGATTTTAGTTAATGTTTCATGTGCACTGGAAATAAATATTTTTCTCTTGTTTGGTAGAGTGTTTTCTTAATGTCAATTAGGACAGGAGGTTATAGTGTTGGTCAAATATTCCATATATTAGCTTATTTTCTGTCTATTTGTTCTACCAATTTTGGGGGGAAGAGTTTTGAGATATCTAAGTATAATGTCTGTTTTGTCTATTTCTCAGGTTTCTTTCTGGTTTGGCTCCAGCTATTTTAAAGCCCTGGTATTATGTTCATCAACAATTCTGATTGTAATCTCTTTTTGGTATATTGACATCTTTATCATTATGTAATATCCCTCTTCATCCGTACTAATATTTCTTGTTATAAAGTCTATTTTGTTTTATATTAATATAGACACTCTAGCTTTTTAAGTAATGTTTGCATAGTTTATCTTTTTACTTATTGTATTCTTTTTTTTTTTTTTTTTTTTTTTTGAGACGGAGTCTCGCTCTGTCGCCCAGGCTGGAGTGCAGTGGCGGGATCTCAGCTCACTGCAAGCTCCGCCTCCCGGGTTCACGCCATTCTCCTGCCTCAGCCTCCCGAGTAGCTGGGACTACAGGCGCCCGCCACTACGCCCGGCTAATTTTTTGTATTTTTAGTAGAGACGGGGTTTCACCGTTTTAGCCGGGATGGTCTCGATCTCCTGACCTCGTGATCCGCCCGCCTCGGCCTCCCAAAGTGCTGGGATTACAGGCGTGCGCCACCTTAACCAGTTATTTTATATTCAAAATGGATTACTTGTAGACAACATATACTTGAGCCTTCTTTTTAAAAAACCTGAAAATTGGGCTGGGTAGGGCGCGGTGGCTCACGCCTGTAATCTCAGCACTTTGGGAGGCTGAGTAGGGCAGATCACCCGAAGTCGGGAGTTCGAGACCAGCCTGACAAACATGGAGAAACCCCTTCTCTACTAAAAATACAAAATTAGCTGGGCATGGGGGCACATGCCTGTAATCTCAGCCACTCGGGAGGCTGAGGCAGGAGAATTGCCTGAACCCGGGAGGCGGAGGTTGCAGTGAGCCGAGATCGCGCCACTGCACTCCAGCCTGGGTAAGAAGAGCGAAACTCCGTCTCAAAAAATAAATAAATAAATAAATAATAAGAAAATTGAAAACCTGAAAATCTATCTCTTAGTGTGTTTAGATCATTTACATTTAATTTAATTGTTGATCTGATTAGATTTGGTTGATTATTAATTTATTATCTTTTTATTACTAATATTCTTTGTCTCCTCTATTTCTTGTTTCATGTTTCATTTTCTTGACGTTTTTGGTAATTAATTAAACTGTTTTTAGTGTTCCATTTTAATTAATATATTGGCTTTTTGGTAAAGCTTCTATTTATTTCAATAGTTTTTCTATGGATCACAGTATGTCTACTCAACATTTCACTGTTTATTTGAGTTAATATTTTATCATTTAAAGTAAAATGTAGAAGTCTTACAACCATGTAGGTTTGTTTACTATCTACTTGTTCTAGGTGTCATGTGCATTGCATCTAATTATATTTCAAAATCACACAAAATACTTAATAATTTTTGCTTTCAACAGTTATATACATTTTTTAAAAACTGAAGAAAGGTCATATAAAGTTAAAAAGTTTCTGCACATCCAAGGAAACAATCAATAAAGTGAAGAGAGACCCACAAAATGGAGAAAATATTTGCCATCTATCCATCTGACAAGGAATTAATAACCAGATATACAAGGAACTCAAACAACAAAATAGGAAAAAAATCTAATAATCCAATTAAAATATGGGCAAAAGATGAATAGACATTCCTCAAAAGAAGACATACGTATGGCACACAGGTATATAAAAAGGTGCTCAAAATCACTGATCATCAGAGAAATGCTAATAAGAACTATAATGAGATATTATATCACCCCAGTTAAAATGGCTTTTATCCAACAGACAGGCAATAACAAATTCTCGAGAGTATGTGGAGAAAGGGTAACCCTCATATATTGTTGATGGGAATGTAAATTAGCACAGTCACTATGGAAAATAGTTTAGAAGTTCCTCAAAATACTGAAAATAGAACTACCATATGATCCAGCAATCTCGTGCTAGGTATATATCCAAAAGAAAGGATATCAGTATATCGAAGAGTGTCTGCACTTCTATGTTTATTGCAGCACTATTCACAATAGCCAAGATTTGGAATCAACCTGTGGCCATCAATAGACAAATAGATAAGGAAAATGTGGTATATATACACAATGGAGTACTATCCAGCTAGAGGACATTATCTTAAGTGAAATAAGCTAGGCACAGAAAGAGAAACTTCACATGATCTCATTTATTTGTGGGAGCTAAATATTAAAATTATTGAACCCATGGAGATAGGGAGTAGAGTGATGATTACCAGAGGCTCGGAAGGGTAATGGTTGAAAGGGGGAAGTAGAGATAGTTAATGGGTACAAAAAATATAGTTAGAATGAATAAGATCTAGTATTTGATAGCACAACAGGGTGACTACAACACTAATTTATTGTACATTTCAAAATAACTAAAAGAATATAATTGGATTGTTTGTAACACCAAGAAAGGATATTACACATTGTATGCCTATATCAAAACATCTCATATATCCCATAAATATATACACCTATTGTGTACCTTCACATTTTTAACTTTAAAAAAATGAATAAAAGAAAATAGTATATTTAACCAGATATTTATCATTTCTGTTGTTCTTTCTCCATTTCTGAAGTTTCAGGATTCCCTGTGATATTATTTCCCTTAAGCCTAAAGAAATTCCTTTAGTATTTCATTTGGAATAGATCTGCTATTAGCAAATTCTCTTAGCTTTCCTTCATCTGGTAAGGTCTTCATTTCGCATTCATATCTAAAAGATGTTTTCATTGGCTATATAATTTTGTGTTGACAGTGTTTTTTCTTCCAGTATCTTAAAGATTTATTTTGCTGTATTCTGGCTTTCATGTTTTCTGATGAGGAAACTTCAATCATTGCAATTCGTGCTCACTCTATGTAATGTTTGGTATTTACCACTTTGATCATGATCTGTCTAATCCTAATTTTCTTTGAGTTTATCCTTTTAAAAGTTTTCTGAGCTTCTCCTTATAGGACTCAAGTGACAAGGATGTTATAACTTTTGATATTTTTCCCACAGGCACCTAGAGTCTGTTATTTTTTTCAACATTTTCCCTTATGTTTCTTAACAAATAAATTAATTAACAGATAATTTCTGTTGGGCTGTCTCCAAGTTTCCAGTCTCTTTCGTCTGTTTTCTTCATTCAGTAGGTAAACTCACCAGTGAATTTTAAAATTTTTATCTATTATATTTTCTTGTTCTAACGTTTTCATTTTTAAATTGTTTTTAATTCACTGCTGAAAATTACTATATTTCAATTTATTTCCAGTGTGTTTACTTTTAACTACACCTACAACTAAAGGATAGTTATGTTCTTTGCTATAAAGTCATTCTGTGTAATTCCAACATTTGGGTTGCCTTGTGTTTAGCATTAGTTGATTGTATTTTTCCTTGACAATTCATCATAGTTTCTTGGATTATGTATAATTTTTTGGAGTATACACTACACATTTTTGATATTATTCTGTGAGATTGTAGGTTTTATTAAAAGCCTGTTGACAATGTTGTTTATTTATAATATGTTCCATTGCCAGCTCAATGGATAAGCCCACTGTAGCTTAACTCACCAGCTGATTATAACTAAAACTTCTAAACAAAATATAGAGTTATTGTTTTTAGCAGGTAGTTGACATATTTAGTAACTTATTAAAATTTTTCTTACCTTTTTGGTTTCAAAAGGTGATTAGTGGTTTTAATATCAGTTTAGTTTCTAAACCTTTGCTACATTGCTTTCAGCCTGTGCCACTCGTGTCACCAGGGATTAGTCAGAAACTAAGAGGTGGTGCTTTATATTATGGCTCAATTCTTGAAGTTTTTTCTGTGTTACTTTGGGGTTTTCCTATGCATTCACAACTCAGAGATGAGCTCAGGAGTTTAGCTAATTTATACATAGAATTAGGAAATTTCCTTCTTCTGCCCTCTTTTCTACTGGATTCCCCTACATTTTCTGTTTTGCAGGGGATGTTTTGCCCAATCCTCTGACCAAAAAGATTAGGTTTGTCTTGCAGTCTTAGGTGCCTGTGCTACCCCCAGATTTCTGTTATTGGAGTTCACTCTCAGGCCTAGTTCATGAAAGAAAAGAAAAGACAAAAAAAAAAAAAAAACTCCCCCAAAAATTATACTCACATGAGTTTCCTTTTTCAGTTTTGACTTTCCCTCTCCAACCTGCCTGCTTTTTTATCCTATTCAGGTAATTACTTTTTGTATTTTGTCTACAGGTTTTAGTTGTAATCAGTTAGGGAATTAAGCTATAGTATGCTTATCCATATTGGCTGGCAACAGCACTTTTTATAAACATAATTTTGGATGGTTACATTGTAATTCACTTTATGGATATTTTAAAATTTAAAATGGCTTCTCTATTTAGGAACACTTGAGTTTGTTCTTTGGTTCTTCTAAATAGCATTACAGAGAATATTATTAAAATAAACATTTCTCTAAATCTGATTATTTCTTTAAAAGAAGTTCTTATAAACCAAATCACTAGATCAAAACATAAGAAAGCATATAATTCACTAGGACAAAGCATTTTTACTGCCAAGGCACTTTGACTTTATCTTGGAAGTGATAACACATGTGCTGTAATGACATTATCAGTGTTGTGGTTTACACAAAAAGCTCTGGTGGCTAGAAGAATGAGCTGAAAGGGAAGAAGGAGGTGGAAAAATCATTCAAAAGTCAATTACAATGTTTTGAGTTAGAAACTCTAAGTGTACGAACTAAGGCATTGTTACTAGACATGAAGAGGGGGCAATGGCTCCTTTTTTTGAAACAGAATCTTGCTGACAGAGAAGATAGGATTTCAGTATAAGTCATGGATGACCTAGGCTTTGGATGACTCAGAGACCAAGAGAACAGGAGGCAGGATGAAGAATAAAAAGAGTGTACTTGGAATTTTGTGAGGGAAGTGGTTTTGCCACAGGAAATCCAGGTTTCTGTAGGAATGAGGAGCTAAATGGATCTTACGTAGAAGGCTTTAAGAAAACAAGAACATTTCTTTGAAATGGGGCATGATGGCATAAAATAAGATAAAAATAATCGAGGAGAAAACAAAAGGAAAAGAGGAGATCTAAGCTGAATAGAAATGAGGGTTTGAGAGGAGGTGGGTGATGACAGTAGAAAATCTGCAAGTTGATAGGAATGAAAGAACAAACTTAAGAATGAAAAACCTCCACTACCCAGTAGGTCTGCGGTCAGAGGCGGTTCCTTGTGAATGCCACTTTGTTCCCCAGATGACTGAGAAGGTCTTAATGCCTTAGCAGGAAGTCTGCCCCTGCCTTGTGGTGAGGTCACTGGCAGTTTACTTTGCCTCTTTGCAACCAAAATCTATCTTTGGTAACAAGCTAGTAACTACTTTTGGTTCCCAAACTCCCACCCTTCCCTACCTCAAATTGTGTAGCCTCCATCCCCATCCATAGGCTGAAGCCTCTGTTACTCACAAATTCTGATAGCACTCAAAGAGCTTTGAAGTCATCATCTTACAAGTTGTATGCTCTTCAGGAATTTGCTCAACCGCCTGTGGGTATTTCCTCATCTGTAAAATGAAAAGGCCAGATGAGTACCTCAAACATACTTTGTGGCTCATTTTGAAATTATAACCTCAGCATAATCATTTTTATAAATCTATATTGTATACATTTGGAGAATATAGCTAAAACAAGCAGCTTGGGGAATGACTCAGTGCTTGACCATAAAACCATTCTGTATGTGTCATTACTAGACTAAGCAACAGCTTGCAGGCTAAACTATGAATGTTAGACAGATACTTCTAAGGGGCAAACTGTGAGCTAGAAGTTGTGGATGTGGAAGGAGAAGCAGTGCTAAATCTTTCTGACCCAAGTTATAGTCACCAAACTGATGATTTTGGAATTAGCAGCTAATGGTATCTGTTTCTCAATTGAATAGTAAAATTGGTAGTGGAACCAGTGTGAATAAAATTCTGAATCTTTATTACCTAATACAGGTGCAAGTCAAACACAGACAGCAATTAGGAAATGATTGTGTGGTGAGTGAGTAGGGAAATAAAAATTATCACACTATTTCAGAAGTTAACAAAGTCACTTTGGAGGGCCTCATGAAGTATTCCTTATAGCTATACCAGGATGAATATTTAGGTTGTGGCTATGCTGGGTTTAGAATATTACGATGCTTTCAGGCCTCCTGAATGTCTTCCTAATATCCTGGCTGCATAGGCCCCTTGTTTAGGACTTTCCAAACCTCCCCCATGACTCAGCGACTAAAGGTATAATGCCTGGAGTACCCTGCTCTTACAAAGTGGCTAATGTTGATATCTGTGTATCTAGCCTATGCAGATTATTATTCATTTTGATTTTTATCTCCTGCCTATACCTAGAACTGCTTTTTCTAAAAAAAAAAAAATCACTGCATTACTAACATTAAAACATCAAGATATTTCAGATAAAATAGAATTCAGATGGAATTCCCTATTTTTTCTTGACAAATCAGAAGATCTGATAAGATTGGGTCTGTATTCTTACATACAAATAACTGTCTGGAGTTGCATAGTTTCTGCCATCTCTAGATCAATAGAACTCCTTCCTTTTCCCCAGAAAAAGCAGAGGCACATGTACTTTACTTATCTGCCAAACTCCTAAAGGAGGGTGACCACATTTCCTAGTCTGCCTGTAAGAATCTCAGTTTACTCTGTTGACCTATAATTCATTAATATTATCCCCTTTTGTTTTAAAACATGGCCTGGTTGGAATGAACAATTCAGAGGACTCTGAATCTGTACTCTCTAAGGAAAGCATGCAATCGACTATCAAAAATTGTATGCTTAAATGATGCTACTTTTTATTTCAGATAAAATTACTTACATAAAAACTTTATTAAGCATCCACTACTTGCAAAGCACTGTATTAGAAGCTGAGGATAGTGTGAGATCAAGAAGAGACATGATTTCTTTTCGTAATAATTATGGACTCTATTGAAAAAGATAGACAACTATAAAATAATTAAAATATGATTAGTAATAACTTAGAAAAAAGACATAGACAAGAACCTAATCTTATCTAGACTAACTAGAGGTGGCCTCTAGATAGAAGCTGAGACTTTACTTTTCCCCTCTCAGATTGGAGCAGAATAGAATGGGGAAAGTGTGCTCCAGAGAGGGAGAAGTGCATGCTTGAAGATCTAACACGATAATATGGCAGGTTCAAGGAAGAGAAAAATATTTCAGTGTCCCTATAGAATGGGTTGGTCTAGTAGGGATAAATGATGCAGGTAGGGATAAATGATGCAGGTGGGAACTCACAAGCTGTGTTAAAGGATTGTTCATTCATTATTAGGTCAATGGGCAAAGATTTGGGCAGGGTAGTGTTAATACCACATTTATGTTTAGGAAGATTATTCTAGATCAAGTATGCAGAATAGATGGAAGCATTAGGAGGCAGTTACAGTAATCTAGGGAGATAATGATGGTATGGCTTAGAATACAGTGAGATGGAGGGAAATGAGATCTAAGAAGTATTAAGGGGATAAAATTAGGAATATGCAGTAGTTAACACAAATATTGGAGATGAGGAGCAGGGAGGGATAAGAGATAGCTCTTAGATATATGGCTTGGAAAATGAAGTGGATGAAGCTGCTTTGCTGCCTTTCATTGAGATAGGGAAGATGATATATATACATATATGGAAGGAGGCCTGATGAGTTAGTTCTGGATAAGCTGAGTGTGAAGTGCTGTGAGACACATGGGTGAAAAAGTCCAATAGATAGTTGAAAATATATGCAATTGGATTGCAAATCCAGACAATAGCCTGGGAGTATAGATTTAGGAGTCATCTATGAATTAAAACAATCTTGGTACATATAAATAGAAAGAATCATGATGCAAGTGATAAAACTTACAAAAGACTGCATTAAGTTCTAACAAACATTATTTGATTGGACAAATACATATTGTGTATTTATTATGTATAAAACACAAAAATAATTCAAATAATTAGGTTGGACAATTGCTGGAGAAGCTTATGGGGTTGAGAGGGTTTTGTTTATTTGTTTTAGACAAATGGCATATTGATTATGTTTAAATGTTCATAGAAAGAAACCAGTAGAAAGTGAGAAGAAGGTGACTGGTGAGAAAGTACGAAGAAGATTAGGATCAAGGGAGGTTGAGAAGAGTTGAGAAAATGAAAATTAGCAACTCCAGATATTGGGTTAAAATTATTTCCTCCAAAGAGAGTGTTGCCTATTAATTACAAACTGTGTAATTAGTTTTTCAAGTAATGTAATACCAAATACAAACAATCTCTGGTACATTTAAAGTCCATTTACGTACAAACCATTCTCCTGTCAAAAAGATATTTCTTCATGTGAGCTTGTCTTCCAGGTCACCAAACTGACGACATCTGCAGTGCTTTATAAAGTTAAATATGCTTACTTGGAATATTGCTGGTTCTATTAACAGCTACTTTTATCCCCTCTCCATTCCTTCTTTACCTCCTGGATTTTTTAAAGGTAGCTCTCAAGTTCTGTCACAATCTCTGATGCTCACATCCCATGTTCTTACAAATAGCTTCTGAATTCTTATTAAGTAAATCTCACATCATGGTGAAGTACCAACCTACACACACTAAAGCAATGGCAATCAAAGCATTGCCAAAATCTTTATTCCTGAAAGTCTGGAGGTAGAAGTTAAATCATTAACTGACTTCTATTCTAATTTGGCCATTGAAGCATGGCTTCATTTTTTTCTGGTGACTAGCAGAATCAACAAGCCACAAATGTTCAGTCAACTTAGGCAAGATACCAAACAAAAAAGAACAAAAGAGGACAGCATCACTTTTCTAAAAAGCCCCTTCTTTCAGGGAACTCAAAGGACATCACATGCATGAACTCATTAATATCTTATAATTTTCTCACAGTGTGAAAACCATTTTAAAGTTAAAGCAAGGAGCTATTTTAATAGTCTTTGGAAAGTTTATCAGTAAAAGCCTGAACTAAAACAAAAATTCCTAATTCCCTTGGTGGTCTAACACTGGTTACACTGAGAACGTTCCCATGCTAGAACATTAAGATTATTGTAAAAAATAATATAATTATTTGGCATTTTGAATAAAACATCACTGAGGCATTGAAATATAAATTACATTTTTGTAGTTTGAGTCCTCTGATGTCAGCATACATCATTATTTCCCAAATAATCTGTTCTTCTCTGATCCCTGTTCTATCCAGAAGAGAATGAAGACAGGCTCTGGAATCATACAGAGGCAATTCCATTCCTAGCTTGGCCACTATAGGATCTTAGATATTTTATTTAAGTTCATTTTTTAATCTGTAAAATAGGAAAAAAATACTCTCTCATACAGTTGCCATGAACACTAAACAAGGTTATGAAATGACCTGACTCACAGTTGAAACTCAGGAAGTATCCAGTTTTCTTCCTTTTTCCAAATGGAAATGAAACTTCTAGGCTAACACACATTCTCCCTTTCCTGCATCATTCTTTCCCATTGTTCCCCAGACAATCATTGTCCTTTACACATTTCCGAAGTCAGATTCCCTACTCCATCTCTGATTCTTTTATCTTTTATTTTTCAGCTGGCATATAGCATCTGTATAAAGAAAGTAGGTTATATTACTTTTAGGAAGCCAGAACACAATTTGTAGAAACCAATTACTTTCATCTCCCTAAAAGCATTTTTCAACAGCAAGAGCTCAAGTCTCTAATAAGGTATACCGCATCAATAAACTGAAGAGTTTGGTTCAGAATTTTAAATTTTTAACAAGAAAGTTATACAATATTATAGTTATTATGTTAATTTGGCACTGATTTTAAAATCTGGTATAGTATGCACTCAATAATTTAGAGATGAATTTGTAAATTGTCCATATTTCACCAGTTCTTTTATCTATTGGATAGTGGAAAACTAATTCAGATATCCCTTTATAGGTGACTTTCAAATTTATAGAATTATTTCTTTGGGAAACAAATTCTTTTTTCTGACTTATATTGAAAAGTATAAATTTTGCTTTTGAAATGTGATCTCTAAAGACAGAAGACAAGGTTGCCAGGACAGGGGGAGAGGGTACTTCTTCTATTGAATATAAAAAACTATTTTGTGTTCAGCCATGTGAGGGGTAGGGATAGGATGGAAATTGAGGCTAGCCCAACAATCATTGCTCCTTTAATTTCTATCTGGCAAAGAAGGCTCAGTATTGATCCTGATCCACATCAATCATTGCAATTACGCATTCATGTGGATGGTTTTCAAGCAACACCCAGAGATCACAAGATTATATACCATGAAAAATAATTAAGTGTTACAGTATTATTTTAAGATTTTATTATCATTTTTTCCTGTCTTGGTGAACCTTATAGAAAATATCCCAGTTCTTCAGTGATTTGATAGTATTTCTTACTTACGTGACTGTTAGAGCATCAGTTGATTGAGGTAAAAAACTGGGCAGGTTTTTTGTCTCCATAATTTGCACCTATAACAATTGTTGAGAAAATATCGGGTAACTGAATAGATATATTAATGGATAACTGAATAAAAGCACTAATGATATTGATAGTGAATATTCACTCACCGGCTTTAAGAATTCCTCATTGGCAGGTGCCTATTCTTTCTGGGCACTCCAGCCTATTTGATTTCATTTAACATTCTAAGGAAGAAGAACAGAGAGACCAGTTACAGACAATTAAAGAACCAGCAGAATCCCTGAATATCTTTGCATTAATAGAAGTTATCAGCTTTTTTTGATGTCCTTTTCCAGAATGGAGACAGACCAACTAAAGACTAACAGTGTTTAAAACTAGTGGTGCTCATTACGGCTGATATTACAGAGTATAAAGAGGCATATTTCCATTTTTTAACACCAATACATCTACTTAATGTACTTGTTGAATTTATTCCTAAAATAATTCTTTGAAATACTTCATAATGATTGCTTTATCTTCAAAGCATATGCAGGCATTTAATTATATGATGGTATACGGTGCTTTGGGGGCTTTTTTTTGGTAAACAAATTGCCAATCAGGGGACTAAAACCTGAAAATTCAAGTCTCAACTAATTTTATAGTGTGGGAAAATGACTAACGTATAAGAAATGTTTACAACAATTACACAGTTGACTTAGCAATTGGCTTCAGACCATTGTCCAATTTATGGGGAATGCACATTTATCTAATTTCTCACCATATTAGCAAAACTATATATTCAGTGAATCAAAGAATATAGCCTATAAATTGCCTTAAGAATAGTTACTGTTGCCTTTCCTTAGGCAGACTGTTCTAGTATCTATCAAAGTGATGCTTTAAAAGGAACAACTCTTCTTAATAATTGCATTAAAATAATATGGAATTAGAAATTTTCATACTTCAAATTTTAGATTTTATGTAACATCTATATGTATTTGCTTATATAGACATATATAGTTCATATACATGTGTATGTAAATATGTGTGTGTGTATCAGCTTTCCATTTCAGTGATCTACTTTTTTTTTTTTTTGAATTAACTCATTTCTCTGGTTGAGTGATGTCTCTGTTTTAGAGAATACAGTTTGTGTTTTTGTAATAGAATTATTGTCCCAGAAATTGACAGAATGTATTTAAAGCTATCGTAGCACTTACATAGTTCTGGAGGATTTGGGGCATATTTAAATATATTTTTCTGTGTTTTTGATTTTAGAAATTTTCTTTGATATGTGACTGCTATATTAAGGCATAATACGGTGATTTCTTTTCAATATTTGTAAGAGAAGTGCTTATTTTAACTTATGAGGAAACAATGCTTACCATAGCAATTTAAAAGTTTATCTGGGTAGATGAGGTAAGCAAAAAGCAAAATCGCTAATGTGAATACAAACCCTTGTTGAAAATATTTTAATGTAAAAACTGGACCTTACCTGTATATCATTGTTGGGCAAATGCAGCTCTTGGTTGTGACTTCTGCTCAGCCAGTTCCCTGTTCTCTCTTTCCTTTCTTCCCAGCAGCCCTAGAAATACAGCCTCCTTACTCTTTCTTATTAAAACTCTCACCATGTAATCTCTTTCTTCAGGGTTGTCTCTACCCATGATTGATTGTGAATGTTGGCCTTGTACCCTAACTTGTTCAATTCTATTGAAAACCAACATTCAAACCCTTGCCCTTTTTAAGACTTTGGCCACAAGTCTTTAAGAAAAGCTTTGGGCAAAGCAGAACCCTGGAGTGGTTTCCTTGGGGCATTTTCTCTCCAGCTTTTACAGTGCATGTAATAACTACACTTTATCTCACTTGATTATTACAGTGGGAGGTTATTGTCTCCCTTCATTTTACAGATGAGGAAAAGACAGCAACAGGAGACAACTGATTAGCCTATTAATCTCTTCTGTATTAGAATTAAATTAGACTCTGTTAGATTCTGTATTAGAATTAAATTAGAGCTCTCTAGCTCTAAGTCTGGAACTCATTGACATATATGCACATTTGTATAATTTGTATTATATTGTATATTATATTTGTTTAGTTTGAAGTCTATCTTTTTGAAGTATAATCTGTGGTTCCAAGCAGTATATAACATTTTCCAGCCTTCAGGAGAATGCGAGAAGCATAGCCACTTCTAGAAGTAAGGTTCTGGAAGGTTGTATCTTGTCATGAGGTTTTCTATCTGCATAAGAATTCCTAAAATTCTAGGTGAGAAAAATGTTAAATTGAGGGGGAATTTTTTATTAGGTCTAGCCTGGGAAAGAGAGAGAGCACATGGAATTGTAGCTGGGGGTCAATGTACATAAACTCTTTTACAGGACATAGGAAAGGCACATGTGTTGGGGAACACTAGCTAGCAATAGCTTCTGACATTTGGTCCCTTGATGAGTCAGCTCAGAGTTTCTAAAATAGAAAACTGTAAACAATAATGTGGACTGTGGGACTGAAAAGATGTACTTAATCAAAGTACAGTGCCAGCCCAGATCACAGAACAAGACCTTTTCTCCCCAAGACACATAGAACTTTCACCTTCTTTTGCATTAATGTTTCTTGATAGCATCTGGGCAGCAATGGTGGGGGCAGCAGCAGCAATGGTGGGGGCAGCAGCATTGTCAGAAAAAACTTCCCTGAGAGCAGGGAAGAGGGCTTGGGTCAGGAGTCAGGTTGGGGTAGGGTGAGGACAGATTTGCCATGATAGCTTGCCCCTCCAGGATTGAGACCATTCTTCTCTTTCATTGCCCACACACTAATCTCAGAAAGTCTTACTTAATGTAATTCAACCCTCAAGCCCTTATACCAAATGCTTACTATTCAAGGCAATTATGCAACAGAATAACCAACAATTTCATATATCTTTAAAAATGTACCACAAAATTTGCATACCATGTTCAAACATTGTAATGATGCTGCATATGATGAATAGATTAAATTAATAATTATTACTTATATTGTGATTTTTTTAGTGTTGTTAAAGTAATATCTAGATCTAGCTGGTAATTCTTAAGTGCTTCTTTGTTCATAAAAAGTTATTTTTTCTTTGAAAATATTAACAAATGTCAAAATAAAAGATACAGGAGTTTGAGGCTAGAAGCCACTACACTCCAATCTGAGTGACAGAGTGAGACTCCAACAAAAAACATGTATACATTATAGTTTTAAAAGATCAAAAACTACCTATTGGGTACCATCCTCACTATCTGGGTGACAAAATTGTTTGTACACCAAACCCCAGTGACACACAATTTACCCATGTAACCCTGAACCTAAAAGTCAAAAAATAAAAATAATTTTTAAACATTAAAATTTTAAAAAATTACTATTCCACAACTGAGTGGTCATGTATTGGTGTCTTAATTATGTCTTTTATTTTCTGTATTCAGATGCTTTGACATCTGGGGCCTTAGAAGGACTGCTTCTCCCAGGGCTAGCCAATTCACAGAGATAGTAAACAACTGGCCTATGAGTGCACTTTTCAAATACAAACCAGCCAACCTACAGCCCACACTCCAACTACCTTTACAGGTTTCTCACACTCGAAGTCACTATTCATCTGCCTTAATTACTCAAGGGCCAGATACCAGACAACTATGGGCAGTCCCTATGCCCTAAAGCCCACTGAAATCCAAAGTAGCCAATCCTAAGTCTGCCTACTCATCTCACTCCTTATTTCTCATGAAAACTGCAATAAAGGGTTTTGTCCACAGTTCTTCCCTCTCCCTCTGCCTCCTGATCAACCCTGGTGTTTCCCTGTGGCCTCTTGTGGCACGGTGTGCCCCCTCCTCTTGGAAACTGTGAGTAATAAATTATGTTTTCAATGGCAGCCATTTCCTGATCTGTTGGTCTTATTATTCTTCAAATTTATATTAATACACTACATTTTACAACAGTAGGTAATGTAAAAAAAGTGGCATCATGCTTCCAGTCTCTGGAAACATGTGTCCTCCATCGAGTACTTTGTCCTTCTCTTTCTACTCATTCTGGTGTCTGAGCTGATCATTATGTTTCTTTCTGGGTCCAAATTTCTTCAATGGTGGGGATTTTCCTAGCACCAGTCATGAAAAGAAGAGGACAAACAAAACGTGCAGTGTGTCTCTTTTATGGTGTAATCAACAGAAGACGCTCAAGAAATTTCAGAAACCTTTGTTTGTGTCTCTAATGGTTCAAAATAGAAGAATTTAACCAGCACCAATAAAAACTGATATAAAAAACTGGTCTGTGGAGGAAATTATGTGCCAGCAAGCAACATACTGGAGTAAGCATATCAAATTAGGGGTCTAATTACTCATTATGTGGCTTAAAGTGGACATCTGATTATAAAGAAAAAAAAATGAGCTTGGTTTCTGAAACCAGAATAAAAGACCAGAGAGGAAAAGCAGTAAGAAAAGCAGTAAGTCAATTTTGAAGACAGGCTGCTTGGCCATGGATAAAGTGGTTCTTATGTTTGCCCTTTGTTGAGATTACCCTGGATCCAAAGAGCTGGGTGGGGCTCTGTTTATAGGAGTGGTTAGGGAACACCAGTAGGAAGACTGAGGAAAGAAAAAAAAAGACTTATGAAGATGTGTGCGACTGATTAATATAATTAACTTGGAAGAGAACACACGTTTCAAACACAGACCTAAAATATTATCCCCCAAATTACTAGCAATGTGAACTGGACAAAAAAATTCTCTAGGCCTTAGCTGTATTATCGGGGAAAAGAAGATATAATAACATGTTAAATATAATAACATGTTAGTCACACAGTTTTGGTCAATGCTACCAAAGATTAAGTAAAATTAAGGAAGATAACTCATCAAACCAGGTGATACAGTTCTACATATGCAGTAGGTACTCATAAAGGTTTTCTTTCTTTTTATATTGATTATGACACTAAGTAGCTGTATGACTTTGATCTCTGTGCCTTACTGTCTTCACTATAATTATAGAAACGACTTCAAAGTTTGTTGTGAGGATTAAATGAGGTAACACACGTAAATCTGCTTTAAAAAGTATCTTTTACAAGCATTAAATAATGTTAACTATTTTTCTTTTCTTGGAATTGCCTCAAAAAATTGTACATTCTTTCTAAAAAATCCAAAGTGGTTATATTTAGAAGTTGTTATATCTATATCTATATTTTATAGCTTATATCTATAACACTTGAAATAAGATATTTCAAATGTCACTATAAAATAGTGTCTTACATATTTGTAAGGTCTATAAACAATTCTTAAATTGGGAGATAAAAATGCTAACACCAAGAAAGCAATGACTGAAGACATAGATCTAGCGTGATCATAGATCCCAGTTGATTCTTTACCACAAAAATGTGTCACTTGGAAGATGCAAAAATCAGGATGTCTAAAAAATAGTGTTTGGATTAATGGCCAAGTTTTTGTTATGATAAAATATTGAGAGAAATACTGATGTGCTGATCGAGGCTTAGAATTTGGAGGCCAGAAGAATTTCTCTGAATCTCTACATCTTCCCAGAGTTCCTGTGGAGAAAGGGAGAAAGAATGAAAACACTCAAGCAGGCTTTTTGTGTTTCTCCCTCATATTAGTTTGCTTAGGGCTTCCATAATAAAGTACCACAAACCAAATGTGGTGGTGAATTTCATGTGTCATCTTGATTGGGCTAAGAAATGCCCAAGTAGCTGGTAAAATATTATTTCTGGGTGTATCTGTGAGGGTATTTCTGAAAAAGATTAGCATTTAAATTGGTAAACTGAGTAAAGAAGAATGCCCTCAGCAATATGAGTGGACATCATGCAATCTGCTGAGGACTCAGAACCAAAAGGTGGAGAAATGGCAAATTCACCCTCTGCTTGAACTGCAACATCCAACTTCTCTTGCCCTCTGACATTGGTGATCCTGGTTGTCAGGCCTATGGGTTTAGACTAGAGCTAAACCACTACCTTTCCTGGGTTTCCTGCATGCAGAGAGCAGATCATGGGGCTTCTTAGCCTCCATAATCACATGAATCAACACCTCATAATAAATCTCTATATAGTTTTGTTTATGTGATTTGTTTCTCTGAAAAACCCTGACTAATCCACTGGGCGACTTAACAGAAATGTATTATCTCACAGTTCTGGGAAGTAGGTGTTCTCAGATCAAGGTGTCTCAGGTCAAGGGTTGTTTTTTTCTGAAGGTTGTGAGAGAAAATTTGTTTCATGCTTCTTGCCTGGCTTCTAGTGATTTGGTATTCCTTGGTATTCTTTGACAGTCCCTAATCTTTGGTGTTCCTTGGCTTGTGGAAGTATCTCCGTGCTGCTTCTTCAATCCCTGCCTTCATCTTCACGTGTGCTCTTCCTGGGTGTATGTCTCTGTGTACAAATTTTTCCTTTTTATAAGGCAATCGATTATATTGGATTAGGGCCATCTTACTGACCTCATCTAAACTAATTATATTTGCAATGACCCTATTTTCAAATAAGGCCACATTCTGAGGTACTAGGGGTTAGGGCTTCAACATATACATTTTGGAGCGGGGACACAATTAAACGCATGTGCCCCTCTTTAGGGCAAATTAGTTGGTGGTGGTGCTGGGGGGTATCTGGAATCAGAAAATCAGGCAGGAAATAGGTATCAAGACTCCATAGCAGTAATAAAACTAATGTCAATACTTATAGAAGACACACATGCATTCTTACCTCCCTGGCTTGGTATAAGTCATCCTCTCACCTAGAAAACACTTCCTGGTTTTCCTTTTATTCACATCCTATCCTTTAAAACTGAGATCAGTTTCCACCTTCTACACTAAGTGTCCTTTGGTAATACCAAACTGTTTGAATTGTTTCTACTAACTCTAAATTCTTATAGCCCTGTTAGGAGAATTAATCTGTTATGTCATGCATGCAAACCTATATCGTTGAATTATATCTAATTGATGATATTCAACCATTTTGATAAAAAATGGCAAACTTATGTTTCAATAATTCAACTATTGGATTGGATTGTAATAGTTAAAATGCTGGGACTCAGAGTTTATGCCAAATAATAGATCTGGGATCCAGACCCTGGGCATGGCTCTTAACAGCTTATGCCTCAATTTTCTCATCTGTAATATGGGGATGATAATATTACCAATCTCATGGGGTTGCTGGAAAGATTAATGAGCTAATTTATATAAGTTTATGATGCTTTAATTGTGGTAGGATACTTTATAATTATAAGCTATTGTTGTTATTATTGTTATTTACTTGAGATTCATGTTTTATCACCACAGGATTTTAAATATTATAGAGATTATAGTAATATTTGTAGAAATAACTGATTGAATAGATAATGTGTTTTTCCTTCAGCTTTTAAACAATTTTATTGTATATATTTAAGGTGTACAACATGATGTTTAATATACAGGTAGAGAGTGAAATTGTTACTATAGTCAAGCAAATTAACATATTCATTGTCTCAGTTACTTATTTTGTGGCAAGAACATCAAATATCCACTTTTTTAAGCAAAAATCCCAAATGCAATATTTTAAAATATATTTCTCATGCAGTTTTGCTCATCCTATCTATCTGCTACTTTGTATCCTTTGACCTACATCTCCCCATTTCCTTTCCTTGTCCTACCTTTGGTAACTACTGTTTTATTTTCTATTTCTGTATTTGACTTTTTTTTTTGGATTCCACATATATTGTGAGATCATGCAGTATTATTCTTTCTGTGTCTGGCTTATTCATTTAGCATAATGCCATCCAGTTACATCCATGTTGTGGCAAATGGAAGGATCTACTTTTATTTTAAGGCTAAATAATATACCATCATATATCTATACCACAGTTTCCTTACCCACTTGTCTATTACTGGACACTTCAGTTGTTTCCATGTCTTGTATATTGTGAATAATGCTGAAATAACATGAGAGTACTGCTATCATTATGAAGTGGTGATTTCATTTCCTTTGGGTATGTACCCAGAAAAGGGATTGCTATTTCCATAAATTTCTGTATAGAAATAATGACCTATCTGAAAAAAAAAATCAAGAAAACAGTCCCATTTATGACAGCATCAAAAAATAAAAATACTTAGGAGTAAACTTAACCAAGAAGGTGAAAGACTTACACACTGAAACCTATAAAACATTGATTAGATAAATTGAAGAAGACCCAAATAAATAAAAAGATATTCCATGTTTATATATTGGGAGAATTAATGTTGTTAAAATGTTCATACTGTATAGAGTGATATATAGATTCAGTGCAATTCCTATCAAAATTTCAATGGCATTCTTCATGGAAATAGAAGAAAAATTCTAAAATTCATATGAAACCATAAAAGACCCCCAAATAGCCGAAGCAATTCTGAGAAGGACAAAGTTAGAGGCATCACACTTCTTGATTTGAAATTATATTACAAAGCTATAGTAATAAAAACACACCTGAGCTTTCTATTCTGTTCCACTGGTGGAACAGAACGGAGAGCTCAGAGATAAACCCAAGCATATATACGGTCGATTAATTTTTGACTGGGATACCAAGAGGACAGCTGAGGAAGGAATAGTCTGTCCAATAAACGGTGCTGGGAAAACTGAATTTCTATACGCAATAGAATAAAATTGGACCCCTATCTTATACCACACACAAAAATCAAGTCAAAATGGATAAAATACCATTTTTGACAGGTAGAATATAATCAAATTAAGGAGATGAAGGTAACTTTATTTTGTACTTCTTTTTAAAAATAAAGCTTGAATCCAGGAAAAGTAAAGCAAAAATACTATTTGTAATTAAAGGACTTTATTAGAATAGTTCAAACTGCCAGAAAAAAAATAGAAAAAGAAAGTTGATAACAAAATACCATGACACTTTAAAATGTATTTTGAAATCACAAACATTGAAAATATTAATTTAAAGAAATTTTTATTGGCAGCCAAATGCTATAGGAATATTTTTCCAGAAAGATTGTTAACTAAATGGAATTTTTAATTATATAATACCAGGAATTATTCCTCCCTTTGCCTGTTTTAAACTGCTCTAAAACATTCACATCTGAGAAAATTGAGTCAAAAATACACAAAAATCGAGTCAAAATGGATAAAAGACCTAAATGTAAGATCTGAAATCATAAAATACCTAGAAGAAAATATAGGGGAAAAGCTCCTTGACATTGCCAAGTTTCTCCGCAATAAGTTTTTGGATATCACACCAAAAGCTCAGAATACAAAAGCAAAAATAAATAAATGGGACTATACTAAACAAAAAAGCTTCTGCATAGCAAACAATCAATGAAATGAAAAGGCAGGCTATGAATTGGAAGAAAATATTTGCAAACCATATACCTGTTAAAATATATAAAGAACTCACAAAACTCAATAGCAGAAAAACAAATAACCTGATTAACAAATGGACAAAGGACATGAATACACATTTCTCCAAAGAAGACATGAAAATGGCTAATAGGTATATGAAAAGGTACTTATCATCATCATCATCAAGGAAATGCAAATTAAAACCACAATGAGATATCTCCTCACACTTGTTAGAATGGCTATTATCAAAAAGACAAGAGATGCTAAGTCTTGGCGAGGATGTGGAGAAAAGGAATCTTTGTACACTTTTGGTAAGAATGTAGACTAGTGCAGTTATTGTGGAAAACAGTTTTGAGGTTCCTAAAGAAATTAAAAATAGAACTACCACATGACCCAACAATCTCTCTTCTGGGCACAAGCCCAAAGATAATGCTTTCTTGATTATATTCATTCTAACACAGAGCAATATACAATCTAGATACTCAATAAATGCTTGCTAAAAATTATTAATTAATAATTCATTCGTTATATTAATAGAAAGATGTAGTCAACAAATTGTTGCTCTGCATAAATAACAAGCTCCATAATTTAATTTGGCGATTATTATTAATCTGATTTGTTTTCTTCACATGAAAATGTTCAATTTTAACTCACTTTTAAAGAATATTTAAGTTTTTCAGATTTAAATGAAAAATATGCTCTGGATTGCAGTCTAAATTAACCATCTGTCAGTTGCAGTCTCTTGGCTCTCGCTCCTTTGAGAGTCTTGCAGTTAGTTTTCAATCATCACCAAAGAAAGAAAGGCCTTAGGCCATTCACCGTAGTGCTTGTAATGACAGTCTCCTTAAGTTTGTTCATCTGGAGTGTTGCAAGATTCACTGAAGCTTAATCATAGTCTTGTCAAATGACTGTCCACTAGCCTCAAACTACCTCAAATGTTTGGTTCCCTGACTCCTTACACTAGTAAAATTCTGTCCAAGGTTGAAACTATGGAGCTGACTTGAGGAAATTTGAATTTAAGGTTGAAACCTATTATTTTACAAAAATTTCTGTGACCTTTAGAGTAGATAGGTAGGAATTAGGCTTTGGCATCTGAAGCCCAGGTCTCTCTGATCTGATCTCACTTTCTAAAACAAGCCTATTCAATGTCAGTACTGCTAAGAAATGGATTGCAATGATGGGAGTGTTACTACACATGGTTAAGAAGTATCTTAAATTCAACAAACAGAATACAACCCATCAACAACTTTTGGAGGTTTATCTGGTCCAGTGTTTTCAGTTTATACATGGGAACACCGAGTGCAAGCTATCCCCCAAGCTGACAGAAGGAGTAAGAGGGTTGAACTAGAATTTGGGACTCTGGTGGTTTCCCTGTGACACTTTTTGGATATATCTATTTTTCAAAGGGTTAAAATAAAAGAGTGAGACTATTGTGATGCTTAGAACTTCAACTGAAAGCGTATCTCTGAACTGGAATAACTGGAAGATTTTTAGAACTTCAACTGAAAGCATATCTCTGAACTGTAATTACTGGAAGATTTTTAGATTATTGAGATGAATGAGGCAGTGTGGAGGACAACACTGTGGTGATCTATAATCTAGAAAATATACAAAGGAAGACATTTAAAAGAGCTCTAGGGAACTCTGTAAACTCAAGCACCATAAAATGCATTCATATTATAATGAGATTAATATAAATATTTTGACAGGTAGAACATAATCAAATTAAGGAGATAAACATAACTTTATTTTGTACTCCTTTTTTAAAATAGAGCTTGAATCCAGGAAAAGTAAAACAAAAATACTCTTTGTAATTAAAGCACTTTATTAGAATAGTTCAAACTGCCAGAAAGAAACTTGTAGAAAAAGAAAAGTTGATAACAAAATAGCATGGCACTTAAAAATGTATTTTGAAATCACAAACATTGAAAATATTAATTTAAATAAATTTTTATTGGCAGCCAAATGTTATAGAAATATTTTTCCAGAAAGATTGTTAACTAAATGGAATTTTTAATTACATAATACCAGAAAATATTCCTCCCTTTGCCTGTTTTAAACTGCTCTAATACATTCACATCTGAGAAAATGGAGGGAGGCAATCCTGTCCAGGTAGCAGATGGCTGAATGGTGGGGGCATAGGCTGAGAGAGGAGTGATAGGATAGCCAGAAGAAAGGGCCTTGATCACACTTTCGGGAATAATGGTCTGACTGGGAGATAATGTCAGCTGGGAGATTTGAGAGATTTCCAAAAAGAGTCTGGTATAAAGTTTGGACAGAAGTAGATTATGTTTCTGTATATGGTTAAGGACAACGTTTTCTTTTGTAAACATTCTGAAAGCCTGTAGATGTGACTGCTAATTCGTATCTGCCTTGGGCAGCATTATTTATATTATAAAAGCTCAGTTCATCAAACAAAATAAAAAAATTCAGAAAAAGTTGTAAAAAGAAAATTCAAAATTACTTATCTAAGTCCTCAAAAAGTACCTCCATTTACTATTTGGTGTGTTTCCTTCTCAAATACAAACTCCACTTACTATTTGGTGTGTTTCCTTCACAAATACAAATTAATGTAATCGGGAACAAAATCTATATAATTTTTGATATCATACTTTATGAGACTTAGCAAAAATTTCTCAACTTTGTTTTAAAAGCTTGCCTCATTTTAGCATATAAGTTTATCTACATTTATTTAACTATTTAGTTTACATTCAGTATTTTTGCTGCTGTGATTAGTACTGCAGATAATCTTTGACTACATCTCTGGTGTTTTCCTTAGGATAGATTGCTAGGACTGGAATCACTGGGTGAAAGGATGTGAATATTTTTAAGGGCCTTGATAGACACAGCCTAGTTGCCTCTCCTGACAGATGATACCAATTAATTCCCTGTAGTAGCATGTAGAAGATCAGCCAATTTGGGTAATTGTAAAAGAGGAAACAATCTAACACAGATTGAGTCAGGTGTGGGCAGAGCTGTGTAGGGACCTCAAGAAAGAAGGAGGCTTGAAACAATATTTCCAAACCCTGGCTGCCACTGACAAGAGACGTATTTTTTTTCCTTAGCTTTTTATTTTGAAATAATTATAGATTCACTGGAAGTTATACAGATTACACAGAGGTACAGAGAAGACACGTGTACCCTTCACCTGGTTTCTTCCAATGGTTCTATCTTACATAATTATAGTATGATATCCAAACCAGGAATTTTACACTGGTACAAAGTATGTATATAGTTCTATGTCATTTTTCATATATATGCTGATTCCTGTAACTGTTACTGGAAAGGGGTCCTGATCCAGACCCCAAGAGAGGGTCCTCGGACCTTACACAAGAAAGAATTTGGGGCAAGTCCTTAGAATAAAGTGAAAGCAAGTTTATTAAGAAAGTAAAGGAATAAAGAATGGCTACTTTATAGGCAGAGCAGAGAAATGGACTGCGTGACTAATTATAGTTATCTCTTGATTATATGCTAAATAAGGGGTGGATTATTCATACATTTTCTGGGACAGGGGTGGGTAATATCCCTTTTTAGACCATGTAGGGTAACTTCTGAACATTGCCATGGCATCTGTAAACTGTCATGCTGCTGGTGGAATTGTCTTTTAGCACACTAATGCATTATAATTAGCATATAACGAGCAGTAAAGATGACCAGAGGTCACTTTCATCACCATCTTGGTTTTGGTGGGTTTTGGCTGGCTTCTTTATCACAACTTGTTTTATCAACAAGGTATTGGTGACTTATACCTTGTGCCAATCTCCTATCTCATCCTGTGACTTAGAATGCCTAGCCCCCTGGGAATGCATCCCAGTAAGTCTCAGCCTTATTTGACCCAGCCCCTATTCAAGACAGAGTCACTCTGGTTCAAACTCCTCTGACATAACTACCACCAAAATCAAGATGCAGAACTATTCCATCACCACAGTGATTTCCCTTGTGACCCTTTTATAGTCACTCTTCCCACTCCCCACCATCCCTAACCCCTGACAATACTAATCTCTTTTCCATTTTTATAATTTCATCACTTCAAAACTGTTATAATATATAAACAGAATCATATAATATGTGACCTTCTGAGATTGGCTTTTTTGTTTTAACTCTTCGTAATATACTTGAAATCCATTCAAGTTGTTGCATGTATCAATAGTTCATTCTTAAAATTTCTGAGTAGTATTCCTTGGTATAGATGTACCACAGTTTATTCAGTTATTGAGAGACATTTTGGTAGTTTCCAGTTTTTGGCTATTACAAATAAAACAGTTATTAACTATTATGTACAGGTTTTTGTGTGAACATAAGTGTTCACTTACTTGCAATAAATGCCCAGGAGTATACTTTCTAGGTCATATGGGAATTGTATGTTTAGTTTTCTAAGAAACTATCAAACCACTTTCCAGAATGGCTGTACCTTTCTACAATACCATTAGCAAAGTGTGAGAGACAGTTTCTCTACAGTCTGGCCAGCATTTGGTATTTTCTGAATTTTTAAATTTTAGCTATTCTCATAGATGTGGAAACATCTGGGAATTTTTTTTTTTTAAGTATGTTTCTTGGGCCTCATCCCATTTTGGCCTTTGAACTTTGAGCTTCAGAATCTCTGAAGAAATTGAGCATCTCTATTTTGAAAATCTCTTCAGAGGACTCTAATGTATAGCCAGGAATGAGAATCACTGAACTCCAGCAGTGGTTTTCAAAACGCAGTCCCTGGACCTGCAGCATCAGCAGTACTTGGGAACTTGTTAGAAATGCAAATTCCTAGGCCCCACCCTAGACCTACTAAATCAGAAACTCTTGTGGGTGAAGTCCAGCAATCTGTGTTTTATCAAAGACCTCATGGTGCTTCTGATGCATGTTGGAGTATGAGAACCATTGACCTATAAATTAAAAACAAGAATGAACGGGTTTTGGCAGAAGACACCCTCAAATTTGAAAGGAGATGCAATCCAGAGGTGAATATGAACTTGATGGCAGTGCTACAATAAAAACTTTAGCCAAATTAAATTTAACAGAGCTTAATTGAGCAGGAACAATTCGCAGATCAGGCAGCCTCCAGAGCCAGACACTCCAACCCAGCTATGTGGTGGAAGAAGATTTATGGACAGAAAAAGGAAAGTGACATACAGAAAATGGAAGACAGGTACATAAACAGGCAGATTGGTTACAGCTTGGCATTCGTCTTATTTGAACACGGTTTCAACAGTTGGCCACATTGGCCTAAACTTGGTAATTGGCACAAGAGTAGGCTACACTCTGCATACAACTCCATTTAGGTTATAGTTCATGATGTACAGAGGAACTTTTAGGCTGAAATTAAAATACGTAAGGAGGCAGCTTTAGGCTAAACTTGATTTAACAGCAGCTACTGACTTCTGGGATGGGTGATTAGGTGCCACAGAAAGCAGAGAATCCTGTCTCAGGTCTTAAGAAAAACTCAAGGGCCAAGGGTCTGGGTTTAGGTAGAAGCTTTGGAAACAAATTAACAAAGACTTAGATCTCTGAGGCAGTAGCTGCTTGGACTGGCTGTGGAATATATCCAGAAAGGTATTTTTTTTTTAGCATGGACTAAAACTGCTATGTTTAATTTATATTTTAAAGTTGGAACAACCTGAGGAGCTAAACTTGATTCAGGTGATATTTAACTGCAACTAACCTCTTCTATTCTAATGATCTTTAAGTTTAAGTTGTTATTCAAAAATCACAGCAGTTTTGTATAAGTACACTAATACTTGCTCAGACAGTTATGGACAAAGGTGAAGAAATTAGGGGATGACCAGAAGAAAGGGGTAAAGGGTTGCAGGAGCATGGTCTGAGGTGGAAAGTGTTAGGGACAAGCTGCCCCAGGACCAGCCCCGCCCCCCAACCCACTTGCCAATGCAGCTAACCCTTACCCTGAATACTCTGCAGCTGCATTCCTGGACCCTTATCTAGGTGCTACAGCAAGGTTACCACACTTGCTTACAGCCCTCCAGGTGGCATGGGGGACATCACCAGAAACGTGGATAAACCTAAGTTACACTGTCTTGTAAATTCCTATATTGTAAGCCAGTCACGAGATGTTGTGTGGTAAAGTTAACCAACAAACAACCCCAGGGTCTCTCTCCCCCATATAAACCCCTTATTTTTGTAAGCTCAGGGCTGCCTCCTCTGACTATGGTGTTGCAGCTTGGCAGGTTAATAAACTTACTAGCCTGACCTTGGGTCTCTCTCATCATTTCTCTCAGCTAACCTTACAGAAAGTAAACCATTTTAAATTCTGGTCCAACAGGTGGTATCTGAATGATCTTATACAAATACATTTCATCTGTTTCTTCATCTAGGAAATGGGAATGCCTGAATCTGGCTCTGGAAAGGTAGTACTAGATCACCCGGTGGCCTTTTACTGTAAGTTTACTTTACCAAGGCTGCTTAATCACTCTATTGTCACTTGGACTATTTTGTTGCATTTATGCTGTATAACATGTTTTAGCATTGAACATGGTTTTCTTACAAAAACATGTTTGGAATGAGTCAGACAGAAAAGGATATTGACATAACATGATTATGGGTTTTTTTTTTTAAACTTCATTTAGTTGCAGAGAAGGCCAGTTTTGTTTAACAATGTATCTCCAACACCTAGAACAATTCCTGTTGCATAGTATGTGCTTAATAAATATTTGATAACAACTGAATGAACAGAAGACATGCCAGTGAATGTTTCTTAGGTAATAGAGTTTCCTTTGATCTGGTATAAATTTGAAGTTAAAATATTATTTTAAATGAAGAGATCTACTACACGTAGACCCACAGACCATTGTTGTCCCCTATGACATGGCACTATATCTGGACTTTCAAGTATCTTCCCTCAGAGATTTACAGGGAATCTTTGAAAGCTTCTCTTTTCCTGATCCACAAAAAAGATGAAGATGATAGCATTGTGACTGGCTTAACACTAAAGCTGTCATATTGTCAGTGTTCAGGAACCAAGGTGAGCTACAGAGTGTTCGTGGGAATACCTAGCTTTGGTTTGCCTCTTTGCCTCTTAGATAATGGAGTAAACATAATTTCTTATCTAGACCAAGGAAGATTGCAGAAGGATGAAGTGTCTTCCTAAGAGTGAAGGGGAAGCCAGCTGCCTATGCGATCCCTGATTCTAGAGCCAGAATTGAACTTTGGGAGTAGCTCAAACTTGAATTCGGAGTGAAGTTTCCCTATAGCATGTGTACCCTTGTTATGCCCTTCAGAGGATCATAGACTTGATTCATCATCAGGAAAAAAAAAAAAAGAAAAACAAAACTACTCTTTTTTATGACTGACCAGGGATCCAGAGCAGGGCACATATCTTTCTTATACTTTACCTTAATTATTTGTTTCTCGGTGCTGCACAAAACTTCTCATAGGCACTAGAAGTCCCCTCTCCTTTTGATTTCTTTCCCCTTGTCTACTCCTCTATCTCAACTTAATCCTGTTGCAATGCCCTGTGCTCCAAGCTGGCAGCTTCTATGTTATATCAATTCCTGTATTTCTCAGAATGGAGAACCTACCAAACAAAAACACCATGATGTCTTGCTAATGTCCATCAGCTTTTATAGAAGAACTTCTGTGAGTTATTGAATTTAAAGATACCCTTCCTACCAGTGGTGGGGCTGGGTGAAAAAAAAGCTGAAACAGGCAGAGACCTGTGAATACTATCACCGCATCTCTTAGGCAGATTAAATGATACTCTCTTCATTCTCTAATAGTAGTTTGTCATTACTATCTGATGTCACTTCTGATCTCATTAAATCTTAGTGGCCACTCCAGTCTCATGCTGTGTGAAAATAAAAGATAATTCATCTTTGTCTTTTTAAAGTGACTACTGTAGGGGGGGTGGTTATCCTTTAAATCTCACTCCTAACACTGAGTTTACTCACTGAAACATTAATTATTTGTGACCACCTTAGCAGGGACTTGTTAATAACAGTAAATAACCAGTTGTCAAGACAAAAATGGGACACTAGATGATTGATATTCGTGGGGGTTCTCATGAACATACAGGGGGAACAGTGCCATGACAGACCTCCAGGAGCCACCAGCATCACTAGGTCATGATTTCTCTTTCCTTGGGAAGCTGATGAAATTAACTGCCTGACAGCACTGCATTATTCTTAAGTGAGTTATTACAAGGATCTGTGTAGGCAGGCTATTTGCAAGAAAAAACAGGATGCCCAAGTAAATGTTTAAGAAATGAGTTTCCCAGAAACTGAGCTTTTAGGAGTTTATTGGGTTTCTCAGAAGAAGAACATTATGCAAATATGGACTGTTTATTCATATATTCAATTTAAGTTAATCTTTCTTTAGTATTACTACGTAAGCTCCAGAAATATTATGTGTCTTTTGTCTTTAAAGTCCAGGCAACACATGTATATATGGAAGGCACTGTTGGCTTCTATCTAGCTTTCACATTTTTCTTCTTCCTAGGATAATTCTTTATAAAATTATTTCCAGATATTTTCCTCTTCCTAATCCAGCCATGTGCCTATGGAAAAGCTAATCACAACTCCAGTTTCTGTAGTGGACTCATCAGATTAAGGGTAATCTTACTGACTCTTTGAGACATGGACCCATAAACCAATTTTGGCCAATGAAATTAAAGGGCGATTTTTAAAAGAGTGTCTGGAAAGAGTTTTCCTTGCTTTAAAATTCCGCAGGAGAAAATAATGTCTCTGGATATTGTCATGATTACATGTTTCCGGAAACTGGGGTAGCCATATCACACTATATCTAAGGATGGTGCTAATTGTGAACACAGATGAACTGAGAAAAGGAAACCTGGGCTACTGTTAGAATCATTAATCTGCTAAATCAACCAGTCCTTAAATTTCCCTACATACAGACTTCCTGTTATGTGAGATAATACATGTTCTAATGGTTAAATTCACTTGAGTCAAGGTTTTTGTTCCTTACAGCTAAAAGCATGCTAAATTAAACAACATCCAAATGCATTTGTGAGTGTAGTATTAACTGAATATAATGTCAGGAAATTCATTTATTTGAAAAACTGTTTAAAAAAGATATACCTATCTAATTCAGTAAATGACTAAAAAGGAGAGTTGGGAGGAATCAGGGTGACATAAAGATTTGGGCATTTAGAGTGAGCTTTTCATGTGAATATTTGGAATGCACTTTCATTTTCTATGTGTTGTAAAAGTCTTTAGAGCCAAACATTTGAAAATTTATTGAGTTCTTTTTTTTCCTTCGTGGCTATTTATGCAAGAAAATAAAAAAATATTTCCTTCCATACCATTCTTCATGCTTTCTTTTCTTTAATGACTGTGCTTTGCAAAATAAATACTTATTTCTTGAATACTAATGAAGATCTGGAAAAAGAAATCAGGGATATACTACTATATTCTGAATTTGATTGAAGATGACACAAGAAACACTTTGTCTCTAGTTTCTTATTCCAAAACAAAGGGCATCTTTATATTTTATCCTGCTGCTAGTAAGCCACGGAACACTTAAGACCCTGGCTACTCTCTTCCTTGTCTCACAGAGATGTCTTGCTTCTCTGTCTTATTCTGTTCACATCGTATCTTCCTCTTTTACTATTCCATCTACTTCTCTTTAAAATTCTTCTTTCTCAGCTATTTTCAGATAGATCAGCTCACTCATTTCATCTTTGAAATCATTGTGGGAAAATTAAAAATTTTTAAAAGCAGTTGATTCTTATTGGATATTCTTGTAAAATATTCAAAATTTTATTAAAAAGATAAATGTTCATAATTTTCTGATTTAATTAATATTGTAAAAGGTATGTGATATAGGTATTTTTTTCAAAATAGTATGCATACATAGGCTTAGTTTCATCTCATTTTACAGAAAGCATATGATGCTCAAAATTTTTAGGTTAACATATTCAAAGGACAGTAAATATCTGTGATCAGATTATAGTTCAGTAGCTTTAATTTTTATTCCTTAACAACTAATATAAATAATACATTTTAGTTTTGGATGGTTTTTTTGAGATGATACTATAAGTTTAAGGGTAGCAAAATAGCCATTTTTTTTCAAGTTCTGACATGCTTTATGGTGTATTTTTTTCTATTTTAACATTTTATTATTTTCTGCTGAATAATTTAATTTACATGTATGTCACTTTAAGTTTTCTACTGTTTGAATTTTCACAAAAAATTCAACTTTAAGAAAAATATTTTTCTATTTGCAGAATGTTTAGGAAAACTCAAAGCTAGAAAAACATAGTACCTTAAAAAATCATTATGTTTGCCACATTCAAATGTAATTGGTATTAAAGAATTTTTAAGTTTCATTTTAAATTAAACAAAAAAGAAAAATCACAAAATTATTTGAGTGGATTTAAAATGAGTTGCCTCAATGCTAAAAGGCAGAGTGCCTTCTTACCTCCAAATGACCACAGTAGCTCCCCACTAATGGCTCTTAACCAGATTGAAATGGCTGAAATGATAACATAGAATTCAGAAGCTGGGTAGCAATTAATATCATCAAGATTTGGGACAGAGTTGAAACTCAATCCACAGAATCTAAGGAGTTCAGTAAAATGATTCAAGAGCTAAAAGATGAAAAAACAATTTTAAGAAAGAACCAAACTGATCTGATGGAGCTGAAAAACTATAAGAATTTCATAATACAATCAGAAGTATTAAGAGCAGAATAGACCAAGCTGAGAAAAGAATATCAGAGCTTGAAGGCCAGTTCTTTGACTCAACTTAGTCAGCCAAAAATAAAGAAAAAAGAATTTTAAAAATGAACAAAACATCCAAGAAATATGAGATGATGTAAAGGACCAAACCTATGACTCACTGGCATCTCTGAAAGAGAGGGAGAGGGAGCAAGCAAGTTCGAAAACATATTTGACGATACTGCCCATGAAAAATTTCTCAACCTCACTAGAGAAGTCAACATTCAAACTCTGGAAATTCAGAGAAGCCCTGTGAGATACTATACAAAACAACCATACCCAAGACTGTCATCATATTCTCCAAGGTCAACATGAAAGAAAAAATGTTAAAGGCAATCAGAGAGAAGTGGTAGGCCACCTACAAAGGGAACCCCTTCATTCTAAAAGTGGACTTTTCAGCAAAAACCCTGTAAGATTGAAGGGATTGGGGCCTATATTCAGCATCCTTAAAGAAAAGAAATTCCAACTAATAGTTTATATTTAACCAGACTAAGCTTTCAAGCAAAAGAGAAATAAGGTCCTTTTCAGAGAAGCAAATGCTAAGGAAATTCACTACGAGACCTGCCTTACAAGATGCCCCTAAGGGACTGCTAAACATAAAAATCAAAGGCCATAACTGGCCACCACAAAAACACACTTAAGTAAATAGAATGTTGGCACTATAAAGCAACTACACAATCAAGTCTGCATAACAACCAGCTAACAACACTATGACAGGATCAAATATGCACATATCAATATTTACTTTGAATGTAAATGGGCTAAATGCCCCCACACAAAAGGCACAGAGTGGCAAGTTGGTTAAAGAAACAAGACTCTACTGTATGCTATCTTCAAGAGACCCATCTTACATCCAATGATACTCATAGGCTGAAAGCAAAGGGGATGGAGAAGGATCTATCAAGCAAGCAAATGGAAAACAAAAAAGAGGAGAGGTTGGTTGCTATTCTTATTTCAGACTAAACAGACTTTAAAACAACAACAATCAAAAAGGACAAAGAAAGGCATTACATAATGATAAAGGGTTCAATCCTATAAGAAGGCTTAACTAATATATATATATACACACATATATTATGTGTGTATATATATATATAATATATGTATATATATATACACCCCACACATGGAGCACCCAGATTCATAAAACAAGTTCTTGGAGACCTACAAAGAGACTTAGATAACCACACAATAATAGTGGGAGACTTTAACACCCCACTGACAATATTAGACAGATTATCGAGGCAGAAAACTAATAAAGATATTAAGGACCTGAATTTAACACTTGACCAATTATACCTAGTTGACATCTACAGAATACTCCACTCAACAACAACAGAACATACATTGTTCTCATTCACATATGACATGTTAAAATTGATGACACACTCAGCCATAAAGCAATTCTCAACAAATTAAAAAAAAAACTGAAATCATACCAACCACACTATTGGACCACAGCACAGTAAGCCAGAAAAATTAATACAAAGAAGATCTCTCAAAATCATATAATTATATAGAAATTAAATGATCTGCTCTTGAATGACTTTTGGTTAAACAACTAGATTAAGGCAGAAATAATGTAATTCTTTGAAACTAATGAAAACAGACATACGCCATACTAGAATTTCTGGGACACAGCTAAAACAATGTCAAGAAGAAAGTTTACAGCACTACATGCCCACGTAAAAAAAGTTAGAAAGATTTCAAATTAACAACCTAACATCACACCTAGAGAAACTAGAAGAACCAATTCTGAAGCTAGCAGAAGATAAGAACGAAAATCAGAGCTGAACTGAATGAAATTGAGATGCAAAAGTCCATATGAGAGATTAATGAAACCAAAATTTGGTTTTTTGAAAGAATAAATAAGATTGGTAGACCTCTAGGTAGACTAATTTTAAAAAGAGAGAAGATCCAAATAAACACAATCAGAAATGACAAAGGGGACATTCCCACTGGCCCCACAGAAATACAAAAAAAACTCAGAGACTTACGCACACAACAGCTCTATGCACACAAACTAGAAAACCTAGAAGAAATTGATAAATTCCTGGAAAGATAAAATCACCCAAGACTGAACCAGGAAGAAATTAAAACCCTAAACATACCAATAACAAGTTCTGAAGTTGAATCAGTAACAAAATAGCTACCAACCAGAAAAAGCCCTGGACCAGACAAAATTACAGCTGAATTCTACCAGATGTATAAAGAAGAGCTGGTACAAATTTTGCTGAAACTATTTTTAATAATCTAGGAAAAGGGACTCCTTCCTAACTCATTCTATGACTCTAGTATCATTTTGATATAAAAAAACTTGCAGAGACACAATGAAAAAGGAAACTTCAGGCAATATCTCTGATGAACCTAAGTGCAAAAATCCTCAACAAAATACTAAAAAACCAAATCCAGCAGCACATCAAAAAGTTAATCATCAAGATAAAGTAGACTTTATAACTGAGATTGGTTCAATGTATGCAAATCAATAAATGTGATTCATCGCATAGACAGAACTGAAACAAAAAACCATGTAATCATCACCATAGACACCGAAAAGGCTTTTGATGAAATTCAACATCCTTTCATGTTAAAAACCCTCAACAAACTAGGCATCAAAGGAGTATACCTCAAAATAATAAGAACTATCTATGATAAACCCACAGCCAACATCATACTGAATGGGAAAAAGCTGGAAGCATTCTCCTTGAGAACCAAAACAAGACAAGGATGCTCACTGTCACCACTCCTATTCAACATAGTTCTGGAAGTCTTAGCCGGAGCAACCAGGCAAGAGTAAGAAATAAAAAGAACTTAATAGAAGATCTGATCAATGACTTCAATAAAGCTTTAGGATACAAAATCAATGTATAAAAATCAGTAGCATTTCTATACATCAATAACATCCAAGTTTTGAGCTAAATCAAGAGTGCAATTCCATTCACAATAGCCACAAAATGAATAAAATACCTAGAAATACAGCTAACCAAAGAGGAGATACACCTCAACAATGAGAATTACAAAACACTGCTGAACAAAATCAGAGATGACACAAACAAATTTAAAAAATTCCATGCTCATAAATAGGAAGAATCATTACTGTTAAAATGGCCACACTGCCCAAAGCAATTTACATATTCAACGATATTCCTATGAAATTGCCAAGGACATTTTTTTACAGAATTTGCAAAAAACCATTCTAAAATTCATATGGAACCAAAAAAAGAGCCCAAATAGCTAAAGCAATCCTCAGAAAAAGAACAAAGTGGTAGGCATCATGTTACCTGACTTCAAACTATACTGCAAGGCTACAGTAACCAAAGCAGCATGGTACTGGTATAAAAACAGACACATAGACTAATGGAACAAGTTAGAAAACTCAGAAGTAAAGCTGGACATCTAAAACCATCTAATCTTTGACAAACCTGACAAAAATAAGCAATGGGGAAAGGACTCTCTATTCAATAAATGGTGCTGGGATAACTGGTTAACCATTTGCAGAAGATTGAAACTGGACTTCTACCTTTGACCATATACAAAAGTTAACTCAGGATGGATTAAAGAATTAAATGTAAAACCTAAAATTATAAAACTATAAAAATCCTAGAAGAAAATGTATGAAATACCATTCTGGACATAGGCCCTGGCAAAGGCTTTATGATAAAGACTCTAAAAGCAATTACAACAAAACAAAATTGTTGCATGTGACCTAATTAACCGAAACAGCTTCTGCACAGCAGAAACTATCAAGAGAGTAAACAATCTATAGAATGGGAGAATATTTTTGCTAACTATGCATCTGACAAAGGTCTAATATCCAGAATCTATAAAGAACTTAAACAAATCTACAAGAGAAAAACAAACAACTCTATAAAAAAGTGGGCAAAGGATATGAGCAGACACTTCTCAAAAGAAGACATACACATGGCCAATAAGCATACGAAAAAATGCTCGACATCACTAATCATTAGAGAAATGCAAATCAAAACCATAATGAGATACCATCTCGTACCAGTTAGAGTGACTATTATTCAAAAGTTAAAAAACAGCAGATGCTGGCAAGGTTGCAGAGAAAAGAGAACACTTATACACTACTGGTGGCAATGTAAATTAGTTCAACTACTGTGGAGAGCAGTTTGGAGATTTCTGAAAAAGCTTAAAACAGAACTACTATCTTACCCAGCATTCTTATTACTGGGTGCATACCCAAATGAATATAAATTGTTCTATCATAAAGACACATGCACCCGTATGTTCATCACAGCACTATTCACAATAGCAAAGATTGTGAAGGAATTAACCTAGATGCCCATTAATGGTGGACTGGATAAAGAAAATGTGGCATATATACATTGTGGAATACTATGCAGCCATAAAAAGAACACAGTCATGTCCTTTGCAGTAATATTCACGCAGCTGAAAGTTGTTATCCTAAGTGAATTAAGAAAGGAAACAGAAAACCAAATACTGCATGTTCTCACTTATAAGTAGGAGCTATACATTGAGTACACAACGACACAAAGAAGAGAACAACCCTGGGGCCTACTTGAGGGTGGAGGTTGGGAGACGGGTAAAGATTGAAAAACTACCTATCAAATACTATGCCCACTACCTGGGTGATAAAACAATTTGCACACCAGACCCCAGCAACACACAATTTATCCTTGTAACAAACCTGCACATTTAACCCCTGACCTAAAATAAAGTTGGAATGTAAAAAAGTAAAATGAATTGCCTCATCATTAGTGGTTTCATGTTCTTCTTCCACCTCCTTTTAAAAAATGCCTGAACCAGACTATCAGGATGTTTATCTTATGCTCCATTAAAAATGGGTTCTTCAGTCAAGCAAATTGGGAAAATACCACATACTATTTCCCCCTGATATTAACAGTGCACATCATCATATGAAGGAGTCAGAGAAACTCAGTTGTAAAGCCATTTTGTTTCACGCAGACTTTTAATCACAGAACCATTTCGTTCTGTCAGAGCTGTAAACATCTAATGGAATCAGTGTTTCATTTAACACACTTTGGGAGATACCATAATAAGATTTATTTGTCTTTCCATCAATATAAATAGCCATTGGAGATTCTCTGGTTAGGAAAACATAATTTGTTTTCTTATTAAATTGCTTTAATTTTAATTTTTATTTTTTGGAGATAGGGTCTTGCTCTTTTGCCCAGGCTGGAGCTCAGTGATATGATTATAGCTCACTGCAGCTTTGAACTCCTGGGCTCAAGTGAACCTCCCACCTCAGCCTCCTGAATAGCCAGGACTACAAGTACACACTACCACATTCTGCTATTTTTTTTTTCTTTATTTTGTAGAGACAGGGGTCTCACTATGTTGCCTGGGCTGGTCTCAAACTGTTGGCCTCAAGTGATCCTCCTGCCTTGGCCTCCCAAAGCAATGAAACTACATGCATGAGCCACTGTACCTGGCCTTTTAAAATGTTTTAATTGGGAATTGCTGTCCCATGTTGTCATGAGAATCTCTGCTAACAAAGCAATACCACAGCTGATGTCCCAGGCCTGGAAGTATTGAACTTTATTGGTTAAGAGGTTCTTTTAACAAATTTCCTAGTTCACTAATTGCATTTTCTGTCACTGGCTTCATAGTGTCAGGGAGTATGAGGTTTGAAGGGTTTGAATTTTCTTTTCGCCTGCATCCATTATTTTTGCTGGATGTTTCATTGGTAAGGGTGGAGAATTGGCTGAATGAATAGTGCAAATTGAATAGTAGGGAGTTTTTCCCTCATGGCAAAGGTCACTTTTAAGTCTTTTTATTTTTTTTCTTTCTCACATTGTTACGCACAAAACATCCTAAGCTTGATTGGAGATAGGAAACAAAGAATGCTGTGCCACATGCTGACCTTCTTGTATAGCCTTGAGATTGTGAAGATGCTGCTTGTTCGCACAGGCTGTCATTGCATGATCTATTGCTTGATAAAGAAAGAGAGTTTGTATTCTCTGACCCCAATTCCTTCAACCCTGGAACAATGCTTCACATTATAAATTTTAAATTGACCTATCAACTTACCATTAACTTCCCACATATATATGGCGAATGTTTCTCAATTTATTTAAAAGAGAATACTTGGGTGTTCAGGTTTCTTTTTCTCATTAAAAATGTGTAATTCATTTTCTTCCCTTATGTTTTTCATATTTCCCTGATATTGCCCATCCCTTGGGAGAAATTTTCTTTTTAAGATTCAGCTTCAATAAGGGAGATTACTAGTGACTTCTTTTCTCATTAAAATCACAGAGTGGGTGAAATCAGAGAAATAGATAAAGTAGACTTTTCTCTTAGGGTTCTAGGTTTCTGATTTTTAATGGTGTATTTGGAAGTAAAACCAGTCAAAATAGAAGGTATACTTTAGAGATTTCATTTTCTGTTTTAACTTTTTAACAGCATTTAATCATTAAAGACAGGGAAAAAAAGACAGAAGGAATTAAATTTAAAGTGATAATTTAATCTTAACAATTTGTCCTTTTATAATTTTGGAAATATAGTCATCATTTAGTCATCCACTTATTCACTGATGTACTTACTTGGAGAACATTTATAGAACACCTGGCTTTCCAAAATTAACCTTTCACTGTAACTGGGTAGATATGCTGCCTGTCTTGTGTCCTCGATCCCTTAAAATGCTAAAACTATGCCACTCATTTTTGCCCTTAAATTTTTGTTCCTGTTTTTTTCTTGGGCTGTAAGGCCTTCTCATGTACCCTCTGCCAATTTAAACTCTATGCCCAATCCAAAGAGTTCCAATCCTATCTCCTTAGGAATCCTGCTCTGTTTCACTTCAGTACTTATTTAATAATTTTTCCGCTGAATTCCGACAGTACTTCCAGAATATGCCAGATAATATAGAACTTAATTTTACACAGTCTCTTATAAAATTTATCTGTAAAAGATGTGTCTTCCTGGTTGCAACCTTGCATTGTAAGGCCATAGAAGTGAGTAATCCTTGTTTTTATTTTAGCATTCTCTGCAGCACCTAGAATATAGTAGGTACCTAAAATGCTTGTTTATAAATTTGCTGATTCCCTCATTTGTTTAAGGAGACAAATCAGTTTAAGGGAATGGGGGGCTATGGTAACAGAATACCTAGACTAAAACCTAAACGTTTATTAGCTGTAGCCTTTGAGTCAACTGCTTAAATCAATTTTCTTATCTGTTAAATGAGGATACAAATATCACCTCCTCCCCTATAAAGGTTTGTTGTGAGAATCAAATGACATAGTACATGTGAAATATATGGCACAGTGTGCTAGGAATTTGGAACTCAGTGAATACTGGTTGTATTTTTACTAATGCAGCTAAAAAATGATCTTCTTTCCATCTGAAATGTAATTGTTGGAAAGAATATTACTAAACAAGAATTAGGAGTGGGGTTATCATTTATTAGATAGGAAAGGGAAATGGGACTCTTATACCAATATTCCCAGTAAATCTCTTGTATATCTAATCCTGTCTTGACATCTGTTTCTCAGAGGTCTTGAACTAACACACCTACCTAGTTTCAAAAAATATTGTGTTTATATCTATTTACATATCATATATGTATATGTGTGTGTGTATATATATATATATATATATATATATATTCTGTACCTCTGCTGTTTCATTATTTTTGTTCAGAACATTCTGTTAATTATGTTTCCATGTCTTTGTCAAACTCTTAATCTTATGTAATAGGATACCTCAGTCAAATTTCCCTTTACGGGACTGAAGACTTCATAATTAAAATTAATAGACTGAACACCTATAAAAAGTAATACTTTTTTTTCATGGGAAATGAATGATTTCAGAAACATTAAGTGTCACCAAGATTTTATGCCCCTTCACTTGTTATTCAGCAAGGGAACAGGGTGTGTAATGCTGGCATAACTCTCATGAGAAGACCCTCATTGTCCAGAAATCTGCTTACTTACAGCATACTATTTCTGCTAGAGAATAGAGAGAAGTTATCCCATTAACTGAGGTTAGGAACTGTATTTGGATGTCACATTGAAGACACCTCAAATGAAGTAAGAGTGTGACTGGATATCACCTAAGACTTATGACTTCTCTCACTGGGAGATAAGAAAAGCGGGGCAGACTACCCCTTCTGTTTGAAATACTTGCTCTGTGTGCATAAGACATTGCCTGTAGGGTATGCCATTTTGTCCAAGTTAGTTTACCAATTTAAGGGTCCTGAACTTTAACTGTTTAAAGTAAGCCCACCTTCAGCTGAGGGCTGAAAGCAATGAAAATTTTATTTGTGTGTCTTGTATAGGAAGAAAAGGAACAGAAAAAAAATCTTTGTTTTTTTGTCTCTTGGTAGCCTGAAACTTTTATTTGGTGATATTTTAAAAATCAGAGCAAATGCCTCACCCAACTTGGGGGAGTTGATATTCACTTTAGCATGGCTCTAAAATGGATCTATTTCATTTTTTCACAGAATGAGCCCCTCATCTGCATCAGGTACCTTGTGATTTTTATGCCTGAACACAAACACAACCTTGTAGAAAATTAGGATTTTGGAGGAAGAGTTTGTGGGCATGTCTGCATTGATATGATCACTATGCTTCTTTAGAAAGTAGAAGCATGGAGATAGTTCTCTCGAGTAGGTATGGAAAGTTGGCTTACCTGCCTCCTTTTGGAAGCATCAGCTTTACTTATCCATGAACCATCCACAGAAAAGCTAAGTTGAAGTTGAATAACTTATCTATCCTGACAATTCTATGAAAAATGTATAATCAAACTTTGATGATGTGGCAGTGGAGAAATCTAGCAAAGGAGTGTTTTTTAAAAATAAATTTTAGTTGCCAATAGCTAATAACAGTCATGTACTTTAAACCTTCCTGTAAATGATGAGATAGTTATTTAATGTCAAGCATGAATTAGATGAATTACAATAGTAAGAGTAAAGTAAAACAATATTCTCACAATATTAATTGATCTTGTATGCATGTGTGTGTACAGGATGCAAAATGTCTGTATTGGCCGGGCGCGGTGGCTCACGCCTGTAATCCCAGCTCTTTGGGAGGCCAAGGTGGGCGGTTCAAGAGGCCAGGAGATCGAGACCGTCCTGGCTAACACTATGAAACCCCGTCTCTACTAAAAAATACAAAAAAAAAAAAAAATAGCCTGGTGTGGTGGCGGGTGCCTGTAGTCCCAGCTACTTGGGAGGCTGAGGCAGGAGAATGGCGTGAACCTGGGAGGCGGAGCTTGCTGTGAGCTGAGGTCGTGCCACTGCACTCCAGTCTGGGCAACAGAGCAAGACTCCGTCTCAAAAAAAAAAAAAAAAAAAATCTATATTGTGGTCTGGGTTGCCCCTCTCCCTTTTCATATTTCACGCTCCTTTTACAATGTATGAAAGAATGATGCTTAAATAAATGAAATCTCTAAATTTCTTCATGTTCCTCAAAAACAACTGCAACACTAACAGGATAATGTATACACCTTACTTTGAGAGAGTTAGAGATTCATCTTGCTATAAAATGTTTTGCATGAAGAAGATGCTCAATATGTATTTATCAACTTTTCTATTTGTCCAACATTTTGAAAACAAATTAGGAAGACATAAAACATCTCTTAACCTATCTTTCCTGTGATCATGTCTCTATCTTTTCATTTTAAAATCCTTTCATCTTGCAATAATGAAATCTCTGTCTTGTATTTGGACAAGTTTTCCTGTGTATTTTTGCAGATGACGGTGTTGTTACCATAGAATAATAGAGAAGGAAGTGAAATCTTAGACCAACTAGCACTCAAGTCTGGCCTCTACCAGAAGCATTAGTGTAATTTGGGAAACTTGTTAGAGATACAAATTCACAGGCCCCATTCCAGACCCACAAAATCAGAAACTGTATGTTTCTGATTAAAACAATGAATGTCGTAACACTCTCTATGGATGGCTCTGAGGCACACTGAAGTTTGAGAACCACTGCTCATTTCCAGTTCTTTCATTTAATAATCATTAAAATGAGATTGAAACTACCTGAGTTCTCTTATGCTCTCTCCAGGCTTTTATACCACACATAACTTCAAATACTATATATATGCATCTGACTTCTAAATTAGCATCTCTAGACATTTTCCTAAGACCCATATATCCAACAGCCTACTTGACACCTTTACTCGAATGTTTCACGGGTACCTTAAATTTACAGGTACAAACCAACCCCTCATCTTCTCCTTCAGTGTTAAATATCTCAGCAAATGTGTATTCTTTTGCCCAGCTGTTCCAACCATAAACCTGGGAATCTTTTCTCACACTTCTCCCTCACCTTCCTTTATTTTATTCAGCAAAGCATCCGCTCTACTTCTGAAACGGCTTAATATAATTCTCTCTCCATCTCTACTGTTGCAAGTCCAGTGCAAGCCATCATCATCCTCTCTCATCTCCTTATTAACCAATACTTTTTTTTAGAGAGGAGCTACAGTGATCACTAACAACTGGTCACATCAATTCCCTCCTAATGCTTAATAGGTTTCCATTGTACTTAGGACAAAACTCCAAATCTTTCAAATTGCTTACATAGGGACCCAGCTCCAAAGTCCCTGCCTAGTCCATTTCTCACTGCCTGCTTTTTAATTCCTAAACATGGCAGGCTGTTTCCTGTGCTTTGCCAAAGGAGGGCTTTTCTGCCTTGAAAACATTTTTTTTTCTTCTTTCTACTCAGCTTCTTCCTGCTTTCCAGTATCTGCTGAAATCAGTGGCCCTCAATGCTGGTCATAAATAATAACCACTCAGGAGAAATTTTAATACATGCTACTACCCAGACCTCATTCTTAGCTTCAGTTCTTTTTATCTGGAGTAGGGCCAGACACTCATAGTTTTTATAGCTCCCCAGGTGATTCTAATGTGCAAAATTTAGAACTGTTGGTTTAAATGTCACTATCTCAGAAAGGCCTTCCCTAACTCAACAGGCCCCCTGTTAGAATCCTGAACTGACTGTAATTTTTGTTTATAGTATTTATTGTACATTATGTGATAATATTTAATATTTGTCATCCCTGTTTGATCGTAAGGTTCATGAGGGCAAGGATCTTCTAGCATTTGTTTGCTTCTATCTCCAGTAATGAACAGTGTCTGACACAGAATTGGCAGTCCATAAATTATTGCATAAATTAAGAAATTAATTTATAAGGTTTTAAAGCTAGCTCATGGCAAAACCCAGTGTAAAACCAAATGTCCTTGACTTTTGGTTTCATTGTCTTAGAATAAAGATAATTTAATAGCTATTTGAATCCTACATGCTCAAACTGGAACAGTCCTAATCCAGCCCAATCACTTCTAGGGGAAGGTAATGTGGGCTGTTAGTTCTATTCCTACTAGTAGCAGCCCCATACCACATGGCTATGTCTTGTTTCATTTTGGAACCCTAAACTCCAGATTGAATCTAATGTCTCCTGAGGATATCCTGGACTCTCCTAATAAAATAAGTATTATTAAATTTTTATGAGACACACATATGTTTTGACATGAATTTCAGTTCAAATCTTGTGATACAGACAGCCATCCGGAAATAGAGCTGGTATTAGACGATCAGTTAGTTCATGTTCACATATGTACTATTTTCCTCCTTGTATTAAAATTATATTGTGTATCATTAATATACAGCTGTAAACAAAGGGAAAATATTTAATGGGTTAGACAATATGGAAAGGTCAAATTCATTAATATATTTTTCTTTTTTTCTTTTTTTTGAGACAAAGTCTTGCTCTTGTCCCCAGGCTGGAGTGCAATGGCATGATCTTGGCTCACTGCAACCTCCACCTCCTGGGTTCAAATGGTTCTCCTGCCTCAGCCTCCCGAGTAGCTGGGATTACAGGCACCTGCCACCATGCCCGGCTAATTTTTGTATTTTTAGTAGAGACGGGGTTTCACCATGTTGGCCAGGCCGGTCTCAAACTCCTGACCTCAGCTGATCCACCCGCCTCAGCCTCCCAAAGTGCTGGGATTACAGGCGTGAGCCACTATGCCTGGCCCATTTATACGTTTTTCTTTTAGAAGTTATAGTTCATTGGGATAAGCTAAAAGGATGTATTCTTAGCAACACCCAGCAGGCCTATTGATGTGGACTGGGTATGGCTCCTCAGAAATCCCAGTTCCCCAGAGCAGACATGGTTGATTGGTGGCAGTGGTATTCTACTTGTCCAGGGAAAAGTCCTGCAATAGCCCTGTCCCAAGAAGGAGCTTGCTGAGCTTCATTACTCCCAATCATAGAACTTGGAACTCTAACTTTAGCAAGCTGCATCACCTGGATCTACTATCTAGATATCATGTTCAACTTCTAACTTTACCTCTAGTTTCTTGTTTCGTGGACCACAAATTATATTACAATAACTAGGAATTGTATAGCCTCAGTCACATTGCAGCTTTATAAGGAGGACTAGCTTGTGGACCTGTGTGGTCACATGATGCATTATTTCAAAGCCTTGATGAAAGTGACTGCAGCCAGTCTGGGCCTAGCCACCCTGCTGTTCACATAAGAGTTTTCTCTGCAACTTGAATACAAGAAAAGTTAGCAAATTTATACTTTTAGAATAATAATCTTCTTCCTCCTGAAATAACATACACAACTGACAATAGTTGATTGGCAAATAAGCACTGATTATGGATATTTATTATTATTCAAGTAGTCATAGTGCTTCTTTTTTTCTGAGCAAGGAGTATAAATTCAGTGGCCAGTTCTGGGCTATCTTGTCAGCTGTTATTGTGAAGATTTCTCTACAAAACATTATGTATTATTTATTTGTGTTGTTATTCTTAAATCAGATTGAAAAATTTTCCAGAATAGTCCTGATTTTAGATATTCTACTTTGTTTGTGCCTTAAAACATCAGAATGTTCCAGGAATCCCAATATTTTGACAATAACAATGAAATGACTCAAGTTAGAGACTGAAGAAAAATAGAATACTCACAAAAACACACATAGAAACTTACGTGTGTTCCTAGTCATGCTCTCTGTGAACACTTTCCTAGTACTAACGCCAGAGCAATTGTTGCATTTGTTTGAGTCAGGTAAAGCTAAGTCACTGATTCAAGGTGAAAAGGATGGCAAATATTTCCAAGGATAATTGAAGACAGTTACTTTTCTTACAATGCTAGTGCTCTTTGAAGTGTATTCAAAAGAAATTATATTTCATTTTAATGTCAAAATGAATGTAAAAAATCAAGGAAAGGTATGCTTTCAAGTCAACTGAGGAAAAAGAATATTCCACTTAAAAAAATAACCTGTAATCACAAGTGATATTGTATACAATATAGAAGTGAGATAAGTATTGATTGCATTGGGAATTTGATATGCTTTTATGGGCTCAAAGAAAAATTGATTCATTTTAGGCTCTGTTAAGTTACAGGTAGAAAAGGGGAGGCTTTTTTTCTTTTTGTAAATTCAAAGAGGGTTTTAGTACTTTTTAAGGAAATGATCATTTAAATAAACATGTTCTTAAATTATATTTTGGTGACAAGTTGTGAGCAGAATGAGGTGAGAAGAAAGACTACAAACCAGAGAGAGCTAAGATATAAAAATGGCATGAGGATATTAGAATTTCAAACATAAAGAAATTTTCTGAATTCATTGCCTTGTTATGTATAGATGCTATGATAAGATAATTTTCTCTAATGACTTTTAGACATAAGGAACACCTGTACTTCAAAAATGTTCATAATCCACATGAAAATCAATTGGCAAATCCACAATTTCCAAGGTTTTTTAGGAGAAAAAAGTATTTTTTTAAAGCCTGAAGTCCTTAAATCTGGTAAGATATTATCAGTCTTATCAGGAATAAAATAATGAAGGTACACCCTAATTTTAAATAATTGTTTTATAGAATTTTGCATTGTGTTTCATATAATTTTATTTTTTCAGGAAAGAGTATTTGTGTGGGTGATGTAATTTTACATTATTATGTCTTTAAATATTAATCTGTAAAGTAGAAAAATATTAACAATATGTCTTAAACTTTATCTTGAAACATACAGATAATAATTAATATGTGTTAAATTTCTGTTTTGACTCCAGGGCTTCATTACAGTAACTTAATTTCTTCATTTTGGAAGTGGGCTTTTAAACCCAGAGAATTCATTCACTGGCACCTGCTTATCAGCTCTGGGCAATACAGTGTTGGGATTTTCAGGCCTAGGTATCAATGAGTATTTACTAAGAACCAGGTACTATGTTAAGTGTTGGGCCTACAGATGCATCTAGCAAATGGTGCCTGCCGTGGAGGGATAGCTTATCTAATGAGGAAGGCAGACACAATTGACAACATAATTCAATGTAGTAAGTACCGACGTCTACCAATAAAAAATAGGTAAATAAGGTTAAATCTTACTGAGAAAAGCCACTGAGTACATGTCACTTGACCCAAAATTTTTTTTTCTGTTCCCATGATGCCTAGCATGTCTCGCGTATAGCAAGTGCTCAATTGCTGGGCTGACTTAAAGTCAGTACAGGCACATGAGCAATCTTGCCATAGAGTGTCATGGAGAAGACCTCATTCATTCTTTCATTGTTGTTGAGATAGATGCCTAGTAGCCTTAGTTTTATTCAGGAGACTGAATCATAAAACAGCAAATTAAACATCCAGGAAGGTCATTTCCTTTTCAGCTTTACGAAGTTGTTGGTTTTTTTTTTCCAAGAAGATTTTGCCTAACATCATCAACAGAGTAAGCAGATCTTGAAATGACATTTTCTAGGAGGAACTGGAAAAACAATTTGCCTCAAAATATATTCCTCTTACTTAAATTCTACAACTGAAGGATAATTTCTTTGCTAAACCATCAATACCTTTAAATGCAAGTGACCCTGGGAAGGCTCACACATTATTCTATTATGAATTACAACATCTGAGGGTTAGTCTGTTGGTCTTTTTCAGACCTCTAATGTTTTGCTTATTCAAAGTCAGTGAGACGTAATACAGGGAAGTTGCAAATGTTCATGGAATGAAGGGGAACCTCGGCTCGTGTGGTTCAGTAAGAGGCAGACTCAAAAGAAGGGAATAAGGTTTCAGAAGAGGAAGGGGGAGACATGTTTGCCAAACTTCACTAGGATTTGCTCTGAGTGTAATGTGCTATATGTTACGGTTGTTTGATAAATCTAGTTACCACATTTTACAAACGTAGGTCCTTCTAATTACTTTCATTAAAATTAAATTTTAATTTAATTGAAATTAATTGGACTTTCTGCAGGCTGTGGGAGGAGTGATGCTGGTTAATGACAGAAATGCTGGGTCAAGCATCCACAGTCACATTGGGGGATCTCAGAAATTTCTTACAATACGTACAGAATAAAGTAATACTCCAAAAGAACAAAGGCATAAACTACTCTTCCTATTTTTGCCTTATTAATAATAATTCATGTTATATTTGATATTGCGAATAAATAATATAATTTATCTCACTAGTTAGCTTTTATTAAACACCCACCTTTTATGAATTCTGATGGCAATAACTTTCATGCAGGATCCTATTTAATCTTCACCAATGAGATGCAAATAATGGACCTAGAATCACGCATACAGGTAACATAAACAGAAGCAGAATTGCAAATCATGAGTATTATACCCTAATGTAGAGCTCTTAACCATTTGGTAATATCACCCTCAGAAACAGATGAAAAGAAAGACAATTGGGGCCCTGATTCTTCTTCAACCTCATTGCACCTTTATGCTGGCCACGTACTTACTTATGATCACATAAATCAAGGAGAGCTTGTTAAGTAACTTCAACTTCCCTTCAAGCGCAAACGTTCCATTTTTTTTTTTAACCTTGGGGGTTTATTTGTTGTGGTAATGGGGTGGGCATTATCTCAGAAGGAACTTTATTCTTTACTTCATGAGAGGCATATTTGACAAATGCGAAGAATGGGACATTTGTTCTCTTGCCTGTGTGGAGCTCAATGTTCGTGACCTGTGGGCCTCCCAGACCCTGCTTTATTTGCAGAGCCCCTTGGCTTTGAATCACAGGGCATGCCATTGCCGTATATGGGGATAGCACACTGGGCCGTGGGAGTTAACTGGGATTACCAGTGGCTATAATGTTGGTGTCTTGATCCTCAGCAACTCTGCTTTGAAGCTGAAGGGCAGAGTACAAGCACACTTACGCATCTCAACTTGGCAATAATAGCATGCCTTTGTGATGACGAGGCATGCTGTGAGTACCCAAGTTTATACTATGCATTCTGATGATATTTGATATGATATTAATTTAAAGCATGGCTTGTCCACTAGTCTAAATCTTGTCACTTAAACTCCAAACACTTGTCATAAATAGACTTGGAATGTGGTGGAAAAGTAATTAGGAATTGGACTTTTTACTTTTTCAGCTCTGGAGTGATACTTTTATTGTCTTCTTAGAAATTTTTGAGGTGATTTTTTTTATCTTTGCTTAACCTTAGTTGTTAAAATAAATATTAATTTGAGGTTGCTTTGTTTTGAAATTACTGTAGTCATAGGCAAATATCACTGTGTGGATTTCTAGACCCATGGAATATTAATGCTCAAAGCAATGTTAGAGATAGCCTAAAAATGTTATCACAACAGTTCTTCCATCCCTTACAATAAGTTTGAATTTTAGCATCGGAATTAGATTGAAATTTTTGTCTTGTCATGTAGTAGCCATGTAACCATCAGCAAGTTATTAAACCTCTTTTAGCCTAAGTATCCTCAACTCTAAAAAACAACAACAACAACAACAAAGGTCAATTACAACTACATTATGTAGATCTGTATGATCTGTGCAAAGTAGTAACATAATATGTATAGGCTTGCCTAGCTCCAGGTCTTGGCAAAGAGTATTAGCTCAATAATTGTGTTTTCTTCCCTCTAACACTGTAATAACAAGCTTTGTTTCAATTTTAATTTAATTTTAAATGAAGATAGTGTATACTATGAAGCATCTAAATAAGGTTATAAGGTGTACCATCTTTTTATAATAGCACTTTCTTCTTTATTCTGAGAATGTAAGAGTAGCTGTGAGGTTAGATACAGTTGTCTAGATGGAAGAGGAAACCGTAGTAGAAGAATAAAAGAGGATTTACTTTATTGTAAATTTTCAGAGAGTAGTAATAGGGATATTGAAGTGAAGGAAGAAGAATGTGTGCTTGAAAAATTTCTAGAATGGAGATGGGAGTGAATTTACATAGAGACTTGAGGTATAAATTAAATAATACTATCAAGGGTTAAGGTTTAAGATAGACTCCATGACAATGAAAAATAAAACCCTTTAATATGAACACCATAAGTCTAGTCAACATTTTTCAGATTCTAAAAGCCATGTAAAAGGCAGAGGTGAAAGCCTGAACTAAACTAAAAATAGACTCATCAAGCACATTGTCTGGAAGTAAGTGAAGATGGTAAAAGGCAAATTCCTTCCCTTCCTATGCCCTGTCTGGAATAAAGACATGTAAATTGTCAAATTTAGAAACATTGCTTAACATTTTTTGAAACATTAATTAATGTTTCTGCTTAAGGGAATATTAATCAAATATGTATTGAACACCTATTGGACATTCTTCTATGTGCTGGGATATAATTGTGAACAAAACCTGAAAACAACCGTAGTCCTCACAGAGTTAACAACTTAGTAGGGCAAGATGACAGCAATTACACACACACACACACACACACACACACATATGAAAAACCTGAAGCAGGGGAGATAGTAATGCTGAAGGAGAGGGCTGCAGTTTCAAGCAATTGGGTCAGGAAAGTTCAAAGGTGGACTATGGCTTGCATTTTTGAGGGAAAAAAAGGATGCCAGTGTGGCTGCAGCAGAGCTGGTGGTGAGGGGGGATAAAGTGTGGGAGATGGGGTTAACAAGGCAATAGGAGCCATATCATGCAGGTTTCCTAGAGTGTTGCAAGGATTTTGGCTTTTACTTGGATTAAAGCAATTAGTCTATATATTTTCAAGAATATCAGCAAAGAAAATTAACGCAACAAGTCGTCCTAGAGAACCCTCAGATCTTAATTACCTTAATCTTCCCCCTCATCTCCTTGCTTGATCCAATCATCCACCCAGGGCTTAGTTTCTCTTACTCGTTGTCCAGACCCTCATCATCTGCCATCTGGAGTCTTGCATTGGCCTCTTTACTCCTTTCACTGCCTCTGTCTCTCCATTATCACAAATCCATCCTTCTCACTGTCAACTGATATTTTTTAAAAACACTAATCTGTGTTCTGATACTAAAATATCCTTTGAAGTTTATATTTCTTCTGAAGTCTGGCCCCTTACAAGATTCTCTAGAATCTGGCTTTGATGCACACATCTAGCCTCAACTCTGCCACTGCTTTGTATGTATGGCATCCCGTCAAATATGTTCTAAGCGTTCACACTTTTGGTGCCTGTGTGTTCCTGTTTGCATGTTTTGAGGCTATCATATTCTTACTTAACATTAAGACCCAACAACAACTCACCTTTTCTGAGGAGCAGTTACTGTTTTTTTTCAGGTAGAACCATTGTATCCTTCTTCTGGGTACTCATAAAACTGTCCCTTTCTTTGTCATAGCACATCTGCCCCTTCAATTAGGTTATACGTATATTTCTCTCCACCAGATTCTAAGCAACTGAAGCATAAAGACTATGTTTCCCCCACTCCTGTATCCATAGTACCTTGGGTCATGCTTAGTATTTGGGGAATGCCCAGAGATTTTTTTAAAAAATAGATGAATAAATCACAATTTTAATGGATATATGTGAGTAGTTGGATATAACTATGTTAAACATAATTAATATGAGCAAAACCAGTCAGATGGTATTATCAGACCCATTCTTTGACTTGGTCTGAAATTAATAAAGCTTTGGGAAATGTATTTACTTTTGAGCAAATATTTTGGACTTAGGCTTTTTTTCTTTGATAAGCTGAGGTTAAACTTGATGGTCTTTAATGCAGCCCTGAGACACTAATCATTCATTCATTCATTTAAGCATATTTAAGTGCCCATTTGGTGCAAAGCGTATGACATCACCAAAATGCAAACCATTCTTTTCGTGTGTGTTTTATATTTCTATTTAGTGCAATTCTATGATGAGTCTATAAATAAATGTATGGATTTCTTTCTAGTCTGCCACAAGCTTATAAGATTAGAAGATGTTCAGGTGCAACCTAAATACACAGCATTAAAGGAATTCAAGACAGAAAATGGATACTAGAAATTTAAAATAGCATTTGACACTGACTGATATCTTAATACCACTATAGACATGGAAAAACCCATGTCATCCTTTCTACTTAAGATAAAGGGATTTGGAAGAATATCTGTTACTATATATGCTGAAACATATCTATAGAATGCTATAATAACATGTCAGCATTCTAAAACAAATTCTTTACATTTAACAGATGATAAAATGCATTGAAATCTATACTATTTGAACTTAAACTCTACCATAAAGTGAAAGCAAATAATGAAACTTAAAACAGAATTGGCTAATCTAAAAATAATCTATTTTAAACTCTCAGTATTTTCCCCAAAGTAGAATTTCTTTCTTAACAAAGAATACTAGCCTTCAAGACTACTATTAGCAACAAGGCAAAGGGGAACAAGCCAGAGCTTTATTTTCTAGGAGCGAATGGATTTTGAGATTATTTTTCAATTAAGAAGGTGTATTCTTTTCTTCTTTAACTCTCTTTATGCTCCTTGCTTGAAATTTCTTAAATAAGAAATAAGCTGGCGAGGAGCTGGGTTCCCTTGGAGGAGAAGAGGTGCTCTGATTTTTAGAATTTTCAGCTTTTCTGCTCTGGTTTCTCCCCATCTTTGTGGTTTTATCTACCTTTGGTCTTTGATGATGGTGACGTACAGATGGGGTTTTGGTGTGGATGTCCTTTCTGTTTGTTAGTTTTCCTTCTAACAATCAGGACCTTCAGCTGCAGGTCTGTTGGAGTTTTCTGGAGGTCCACTCCAGACCCTGTTTGCCTGGATATCACCAGTGGAGGCTGCAGAATAGCAAATATTGCAGAATGGCAAATGTTGCTGCCTGCTCGTTCCTCTGGAAGCTTCGTCTCAGAGGGACACCTGGCCTTATGAGGTGTCAGTTGGCCCCTACTGGGAGGTGCCTCCCAGTTAGGCTACTCGGGGGTCAGGGACCCACTTGAGGAGGAAGTCTGTCCATTCTCAGATCTCAAACTCTGTGCTGGGATAACCACTACTGTCTTCAAAGCTGTCAGACAGGGATGTTTAAATCTGCAGAAGTTTCTGCTGCCTTTTGTTCAGCTATGCCCTGCCCCTAGAGGTGGAGTCAACAGGGACAGGCAGGCCTCCTTGAGCTGCAGTGGGCTCCACCCAGTTCGAGCTTCCAAGCCGCTTTGTTTACCTACTCAAGCCTCAGCAATGGCAGACACCCCTCCCCCAGCCTGGTTGCTGCCTTGCAGTTCAATCTCAGACTGCTGTGCTAGCAGTGAGTGAGGCTCCGTGGGCATGGGACCCTCCGAGCCAGGCATGGGATATAATCTCCTGGTGTGCCATTTGCTAAGACCATTGGAAAAGTGCAGTATTAGGGTGGGAGTGTCCCGATTTTCCAGGAACAATCTGTCATGGCTTCTGTTGGCTAGGAAAGGGAATTCCCCAACCCCTTGCATTTCCTGGGTGAGGCAATGCTCTGCCCTGCTTCGGCTCACACTCCGTGGGCTGCACCCACTGTCTGACAAGCCCCAGTGAGATGAACCTGGTGCCTCAGTTGGAAATGCAGAAATCACCTGCCTTCTGCGTCACTCACACTGGGAGCTATAGACTGGAGCTGTTCCTATTTGGCCACCTTGGAACCTCCCTTCCACCTCTCTTATAACCTGATCGCTCTTTATTCAATTAACCTGTTTTTATAACTTACATTTTCTGAAGTTAAAATTAAATATAATGGTCCTTAGATAGAAGTTCTATTGATCAAGGCTTTATGTAATCCACTATCATATCCCCAGTACTTACAGAAGTGCCTGACAATACATACATTGAAAGACTATTGGAAGACAGATGAGATCAGTAGGATCTGTATACTTAATGTATAAAATTTTAGCTCAAAGTAGAAAAAATGCTATTAGTGCTCCTGTGAAACGTGGCAGAAAAAATTTGGTTTTTGCAAGTTTAAAACTTGCAAACTTATGCTTTTTGTAATGATAGAGTAGCTTTTATTGGACTATCCTTCTGACAGTTACAGATGACAATTATAACCTTTGGACAAAATCTAACAAACAAACAAACAAAAAACCCAAACAAAAAACATACGTAAGTATGAAGACGAAGGTTACTGACAAAAACAAAAATTGTAGCAGCATTAATCCTTGAAAGAAAAACACCAAACAGTGCATTTGAATTTTATACAGCTTTTCACCTGAGAATATTCCCAAGTCCAAGTGTCTTGGTATAATTAAAACTTGAACATCAGGGTACAATCACAGTGACTTGAGGAGGTGGATAGCATTCAAGACTTCAGAGTAGTGGAAAGTGAGAGAGAGAAAAAAAAACTAGCAATGGAAGTAACAATAGAGGATGGATTCAAAAATCTGTGTGTAAACATTGATCAAAATTAGGCCTTGAAAGATCAGCCAAATTTTGTAGTGTTCTCAGTCAGAGAGGACTACAAGAAGATGTATGAGTAAAATCAAAACCAAAACCAAACAAACAAAAAATACCAGCTGGAAGGTTGAAAGACTATCACAAGAAAAGTAGAGATTTGAATTTGAGTCCAGAAAGATAATTGCCTCCAATAAGAAAATAAACTCATCCCAGAGGAAGGTAATAAAACCTACAGTTTTTACAAAGTGTTATCCACATTATTCAATATAAAATAAAAATTATTAGACATCTGAAAAAGAAGAAAATGATATCCATGATTAAAAAAATAATAGAAGATACAGAAGATGAACTGCGTCAGAAGTTGGAATTAGAAGACCAGGACTTTAATGTAGCTTTTTAGTTTCAGACATGCAGCAGGAATCGTCATGGTTTATAGCAGCCTGCTCCTGAGAGAATATAGACATCACTTGCTACTGAGGAAACCAATAGCCATTCCCTCAAGGATACCTTAGAGAGGGAGATGTGGCTTCATACCCCTTTGTACCTAATAAGCAGCCACTGATTATCCATGTTGGGAGAAGAACTGCCACCTTTCCGAACCCAGCATGGGCCCAGTGAGCACCAACAGAGCTTTGACCACTCTGTGGTGTCCACATCCAGACCTGAACTCTGTGGTTACACTGGATCTGCCTATGTCTCAGACATTGGAGTCATTACCGTAGTAAGCTAATTTGCACATTGGGTTCTGGAGCCAAGCTCTTGCTGCTTATGCTCATGCCCCAGGCATTAGCTCAGCCACCACAGAGCTTCATTCTGACCCTGTAGATGCTTTACTAAGATTCACCCTGACCTTATAGATGCTGAGGCTAGCACATGCTTATACCTTGGATCCTGGCTACAAGGCTGCATTGTGTGCACCCACATCTCAAACATCAGAGCCACTGCCAGAGAGAGGTAGTTCATAATCCAAGTCTGGAGTCAAGGTCTGCATGTGGCTACACTTCAGGCACTACCTTGGCTGCCATAAAGAGCAAGGCCCTGCCCAACTCCAGAGCCACTCTAATACTGTGCCCACTGGTGCTCTTATTCTTGCTTCCCCTAGCTGCTTCATAACAATCCATACCTCACATTTTGTCACCAACATAGCAGCAAAGGTGTCTGCAACCTAGGCACCAGTACCAATACTGCCCTGGATCCCAAAACCATTGTTCTTCCATATGTGACAATGTTTTCGGCCTCAACTTCATGGCCTCTTCATAGGGGCCACTCATCAGACAAGGGTGCCATCGTTACTGCAAGTGAGTGCACAAGCCAGATCCTGTGTTAGGAAGAATCCCCTCAGCCACAACTCCCCAGTGGGAGAAAAAGAGAGCAAAGCAACCTTGGCAGTTATTGCCACTGAAGACCCCAGTGAGCCTTGCTGCTACAGCAAAATTTATAGCATTAGATACTGGATCCCTGCAATATTCATCAACACTGATTTTTGCTGCCAGAGCTGTACAGAGACGAAACAGCTGAAATATTCACTAATGCAGAACCAATGTACTATATCTAGCAAGTGCCCTTGTATCCCTTTCATAAAGGAAATTTTTCCACAGTAAAACTAACCTTTAAAGTCTGCAAGAGGTGGCTGCTACACCAAATAAACAAACATCAACATAAGACAATAGAAACATGAAAAGCCAAGGAGACATGAAACAACTCAAATAACACAATAATCTCTCAGAAGCTGACCCCAAAGAAATGGAGATATACATACAAACTGTCTGACAAATAATTTAAAATTATTTTAGAGAAGCTCAATAAACTTCAAAAAACATACAAAGACACAATTAAATGAAATCAGAGAAAAACAATAAATGACCAACAAAAGAAATCTAAGAGATTGAAATTGTAAACAGAAATCAAACATATTCTGGAGGTGAAAAATACAGTGGAACAAATGAAAAATGCAATAGAGAGCATTGACATCAGAACTGACCATGTAGAAGAAAGAATGTGATAATCTGAACACACATTTGGAAATACATAGTCAGAGGAGAAAAAAAGAAAAAGGAATAAGGAATGAATAAACTTATGGGATTTATGGGGCATCATCAGAAGGGTAAATGTTTAAGTTGTAGGAGTTTGAGAAGAAGAGAGAGACAAAGTACTATAAAGCTATTTCAGGAAACGATAGCAGAAAATTGTCCAAATATAAGGAAATATTTAAATATCCAGGTACAAGATAAAGGTACCTGGATATTTAAAAGTACCTGGCCTTTGGTACAGTCCCAAAGTCCCCAGTCAGATTCCATCTAAACAAGACTGTACCAACATATTTTATAATGAAACTGAAAAAAAAAAAGACAAAGAGAATCCTAAAATCATCATGAGAAAAAAAATCCATGTAAAGGAATTTAAATAAGCCTAGAAGGAGATTTCTCAGTAGAAGGGTTGCAGGCCAGCAAAGAGTGGGATAATATGTTTAAAGGGCTGAAGGGGAAAAAAAGAAAAAAACAACCAGAAAACAAAAATCTTGCCAAGCAAGAACACTGACAAAGCTGTTGTTCAGAAATGAAAGACAGATAAAGACTTTCCCAGGCAAACAAAAGCTAAGGGAGCCCATTACCACCAGACCTGTTTTATAAGAAATGCTACAGGGAGTTTTTGAAGCTGAGAGAACAGGATCCAACTTAGTAACACAACAATATATAGAAGTATAAAACTCACTGGAAAAAATAAATACATAGTCAAATTCAGAATATTTTAATACTGTAATGGGGTATAAATCACTTATATTTTCAGTATGAAGATTAAAAGATAAAACTATCAAAATATTAATAGCTACAATAATTTGTTAAGGGATATATAATATAAAAGATGTAAACTGTGTTATCAAAGACATAAAATGTGTGAGAAGGTAGAGTGAAAGTGTAGAGTTATTTTTATGTGATAAAAGTTAAGTTGTTTTTAGCTTAAAATAGTCTGTGATAATGATAAGCTTTTTTAAAAAATTTCAATAGTTTTGGGAGTACAGGTGACTTTTGTTTACATGGATAAGTTCTTTAGTGGTAATTTCTGAGATTTTAGTGCACCTATCACCTGAGCAGTGTACACTGTACCCAATTTATAGTCTTTTATCCCTCATCCCCTTCTTAGCCTTCCCCCATGAGTCCCCAAAGTCCATTATGTATCTCTTATGCATTTGCATTCTAATAGGTTAGCTCTCACTTATAAGGGAGAACATACAATATTTGCTTTCTATTGCTGAATTACTTCTCTTAGCATGATGGCCTCCAGCTCCATACAAATTGCTGCAAAAGACATGATTTCATTCCTTTTTATAGCTGAGTAGTACTCCATGGTATATATCTATATACCACATTTTCTTTATCCACTCATTGTTTGATGGGGACTTAGGTTGGTTCCATATCTTTGCAGTTGAAAATTGTGCTGCTGTAAGCATGCATGTTCATATGTGTTTTTTATGTAATGACTTCTTTTTCTTTGGGTAGATACTCAGTAGTGGGATTGTTGGATCAAATGGTAGTTCTAGTTTTAGTCCTTTAAGGAATCTGCATACTGTTTTCCATAGTGGTTGTATTAATTTACATGCTCACCAGCAGTGTAAAAGTACTCATTTTCACCACATCTATGCTAACATCTATTGTTTTTTGACTTTTTAATTATGGCCATTCTTGCAGGAGTAAGGCAGTATCTCATTGTGGTTTTAATTTGCATTTCCCTGATGATTAGTGATGCTGAGCATTTTTTCATATGTTTGTGGGCTGTTTGTATATCTTCTTTTGGGAAATGTCTATTCATGTCTTATGCCCACTTTTTGATGATGTTATTTTTCTCTTGTTGATTTGTTCAAGTTCCTTGTAGATGTGGACACTAGTCCTTTGTTGGATGCATAGCTTGCAAATATTTTCTTCCACTCTATGGGTTGTCTTTTACTCTGCTGATTATTTTATATGCTTTGCAGAAGCTTTTTAGTTTAATTAGGTCCCATTTATTTATTTTTATTTTTGTTGCATTTACTTTTTGGGTCTTAGTCATAAATTCTTTGCCTAAGCCAATGTCTAGAAGAGTTTTTCCAATGTTACCTTCTACAGTTTTTCTGGTTTCTGGTCTTAGATTGAAGTCTTTGATCTATCTTGAGTTGATTTTTGTATAAGATGAGAGATGAGGATCCAGTTTTATCCTTCTACATGTGGCTTGCCAGTTTTCCCAGCACCACTTACAGAAGTTATAACTATAAGGTGTTTTTTTGTAAGCCTCATGGTAATCACAAAGCAAAAACTCATAGTAGATACACAAAAGATGTTTTTTTTTGAGACAAGTTGTCACTCTGTTTCCCAGTGCATTGCTGTGTGATCATAGGTTACTGCAACCTAAAACTCCAGGACTCAAGCTATCCACCCACCTCAGCTTTCCAAGTAGATGGGATTACAGGTGTCCGTCATCATGCCCAGCTACTTTTAAAATTTTCAGTAGAGATGGGGTCTCTCTATGTTGCCCAGGCTGGTCTTGAATTCCAGGGCTCAAGTGATCCTCCTGCCTTGGCCTCCAAAGTGCTGGTATTTTAGGCATGAGCCACCATGTCTGGCTATAAAAGATTAAGAGTAAGAAATCAAAACATACCACTATAGAAAATCATCTAACCACAAAGGAAGGCAGCAAGAAAGGAAGAAAATAATCTATAAAACAATGAGGAAATCATTAACCAAATGGCACTAGAAAATTCTTGCCTATCAATAATTACCTTGAATGTAAATGTATAAAATTATCTAATCAAAAAACATAGAGTGGATGAATGAATGAAAAAAAAAGACCAACAAGACTCAACTATATGCCACCTACAAAAGAGACTCACTTCTCCTTGAAGAGTACACATAGATTAAAAGTGAAAGGATAAAAAAAAGATATTTCATGCAAATGAAAACCAAAAGAGAGCAGAGGTGGCTGTAGTTATATCAGATAAAATAGACATTCAGTCAGAAACTGCAAAACGAGAAAAAGAAAGTCATTATATAATGATAAAGGGATCAGTTTGTCAAAAAGATATAACAATTGTAAATATATATACACCCAACATCAGAGTACCTAAATATATAAAACAAATATTAATACATTTGAAGAGAGATATAGACAATAAAATAACAATAAAGGACTTCAATACCACACTTTCAACAATGAACAGATCATACAGACAAAAAATCAATAAGAAAACCTAAGATTTTAATACATTTTAGATCAAATGGGCTTAACAGACATATAGAGAACATTTTATCCAATCGCAGCAGAATACACATTTTTCTCAAGAACACACATAATTTTGTCCAGGGTACATTACATGTTAGGCCACTGCTGTGGTTTGAATGTTTATTCCCTCAAAAACTCACACTGAAAATTGCCACTGTGATAGTATTAGAAGGTGGGACTTTCAAAAAGTGTTTATTGTCATTAGTGTTCCACTCTCATGAGTGAACCAAAGCCATTATTGTGGGAGTGGGTGTGTTATCACAAAAGCGGGTTTGTACTCTCTTGCTCTCTCACTCTTGCCTTCTCTTTGCCCTTGTGACATGTGATCCTTTCTACCATGTTATATCATAGTCACCGAGGCTTTCACCAGGTGCTGGCACTTTGATATTGTACTGCTCAGTCTCTAGAATTGTGAGCCAATAAATTACTTTTCATTATAAATTACCCAGAAGAAAAACTCTTATCAAGTATCTTTTCTAATCTCAATGGTATGAAACTAGAAATTAATAACAGGAGGAATTTTTAGAAACATACAAATATGTGGATATAAAACAACATGCTCTGAAACAACCAATGTGTCAAAGAAACAATTCAAAGAAAACTTAAAAATAGCTAGAGACAAACAAAAATGGAAATGCAATATACCAAAACTATGGGATGTAGCAAAAGCAGTTCATTGAGGAAAGTTTATACCAATAAACACCTAAGTTATAAAGAAGAATGATCCCAGCAACCCCCCCCAAAAAAACAACTAATATTACACCTCAAGGAACTAGAAAATCAAGAACAAAGTCTAAAGTTAGTAGAAAGAAGGTAATAATATGAAACTATAATAAATAAAATAGAGGCAAAAAACAAAAAAGAAAAACAAAACTAAGAGTAGGTTTTCTAAAAAAAAACAGAAAAAATCCACAAACCTTTCCTCAGGCTAAAGGTTTAGACAAAACTTCAGTTAGACTAGATGAAGGCTAAGACTATAATATACATTTTTGTTTAGGCCCAGACAAATGTTTAGGTAGGCTAGACTCAGAAAAAAGAGAAAAGACTCGAAAAATAAAATCAGAAATGAAAGAGGAACATTACAACTGATGCAATAGAAATACACAGGATCACAAGAGGCTAATATAAACAATTATATGACAAAAAATTGGGTAACCTAGAAGATATGGATAAATTCCTGGACACATACAACCTACGAAGACTGAATCATGAAGAAATAGAATATCCGAACAGACCAATTACAAGTAATGAGACTGAATCAATAATAAAAACTCTCCCCTCCAAGAAAAGCCTGGGACCTTCTGGCTCCACTGCTAAATTCTACCAAATCTTTAAAGGAGAACTATTACCAATCCTTTTCAAACTCCTCCAAAACATTGAAAAGTAGGGAACACTTTCCAACTCATTTTACAAGCCAGCATTACTCTGATACTAAACTCAGACAAGGACACTACAGAAAAAGAATATTACAGGCCAGCATTCCTTCATAAGCAGAGTTGAAAAAATCCTCAATAAAATTCTAGCAAATCAAATTTAACAGCACATTAAAAGGATCATTCATCACGATCAAGTGGAATGCAAGAATGGTTCAACATATGCAAGCCACTAAATGTGATATACTACATTAAGAAAATGAAGACCAAAAATCATATAATCATTTCAATAGATGCAGAAGAAACATTCCACAGAATCCAACAACATTTTATGATAAAAGCCCTCACCAAATTAGGTGTGGAAGAAATGTACCTCTGCACAATAAAGGCCGTATACACCAAGCCCATAGCTAACATACATTCTCAATGGTGAAACTTTGAAGGTTTTCTTCCAAGATAAGGGGCAATACAAGGATGCCCACCTTTGCCTCTTCTATTCAGCATAGTGCTGAAAGTTCTAGCCAGAGCAATTAAGAAAGAACAATAAATAAATGGCATCCAAATAGAAAATAAAGAAGTTATTTTTTTTCTGTTTGCAGATGACGCAATCTTACATTTAAAAAATCCTAAAGATGCCACCAAAAAACTGTTACAGCTAATAAACAAATTCAATAAAGTTGCAGATATAAAATTAACATCAAGAATCATAATGTTTTCATACACTAACAATGAATTTCATTCAAACATGAAATTAAGAAAATAACCCCATTCGCAATAGGTACCAAAACTAAAATACTTAGAAGTAAATTTGACCAAGCAGGTGAAAAATCTGTAAACTGAAAATAATAAAACATTTATGAAAAGAGAAGACTCAGGTCAATGGAAAAATATTCTCTGTTTATGGATTAGAAGAATTAATATTGTTAAAAAATCCATATCATCCAAAGTAATTTAGATTCATTGCAATCCCTATCAAAATTCTAATAACATTTTTATATAAATGGAAAAGAAATCTTAAAATTAGTAGGGAACCACAGAAGGCCCCAAATAGCCAAAGCAATGTTGAGCTAAAAGAGCAAAGCTGGAGGCATCACTCTACTTCATTTAAAAGTCTACTACAAAGCAATAGTAATCAAAACAGCATGGAGGTGTCATAAAAACAGACATAGACACAAATGAAGCAGAATAGAAAGTCCAGAATTAAGTCCATGCATTTATAGTCAACTTCTTTGGTAATGTGCTGAGAACACACAATGGGAAAAGATCAATCTCTTCAATAAATTATTCTGGAAAAACTGACTATGGATATGCATAAAAATAAAATTAGACTCTCATCTCACACCATATACAAAAATCAATTGAAAATAAATTAAAGACCTAAATGTAAAATCTAAAACTATAAAATTACTAGAAGAAAATATAGGCTAAAAACTTCATGACATTTGTCTGGACAAAAGATTTTTTTTTTTTTTGGTGTAACCCCAAAAGCAACAGAGGTAAAAATAGACAAATGGGATTACATCAAAAAAGAAAGCTTTTGCACAGCAAAGGAAGCAATTGACAGAGTGAATAGATAACATACAGAATGGGAGAAAACATTTGCAAACTATATCTCTGATAATGGTTGATATCCAAAATATCTCAGGAACTTAACTCAATAGTAAGAAAACAAATAACTTCATTAGCGAATGGACAAAGTACCCAAATAGACGTTTCTCAAAAGAGACATACAAATGGCCAACAGGTGTATGAAAAAATGCTCAACATAATTATCGGGAAAATGCAAATCAAAAGAATAATGAGATATCACCTCACACATGTTAGGGTGGCAATTATCCAAAAGATGAGAGAAGTGTTGGCAAGGTTGTAAAGAAAAGAAAACCCATGTACACTGCTAATGGGAATGTAAATTAATACAGCCATTATGGAAAACAATACAGGGGTTCCTCAGAAAATTAAAAATAAAACTATGATGTTATCCAACAATCCTACTACTGAGTATGTATCCAAATGATATGAAAGCAATATGTGGAAGAGATATCTGCACTCTCGTATTCATTGCAGCATTATTCACAATAACCAAGATATGGAATCAATATAAGTGCCTATCAATGAATGAATAAAGTGAATGTGGCATATGTAAGCAATTAAATACTATTTAGCCTTTTTTAAAAAAAGGAAATTCTGTCTTTTGCAACAACATGGATGAACTTGGGGAAACTAGGTGAAGTGAAATAAGCTAGGCACATAAAGAAAATACTACATAACCTCGCTTACATGTGGAATCAAAAAAAGTTGAACTTACGGAAGCAGAGAGTAGAATGGTGGTTACCAGAGCCTTGGGTGTGGAGGGTCAACTGGGGAGATGTTGGTTAAAGGATACAAAATTTCAGTTACATAGGAGGAATATATTCAGGAGATCTATTGTATATCATAGTGACTGTAGTTAATAACAATATATTGTATGCTTGAAAATTGCTGAAAGAGTAGAATTTTTTCTCACCATAAAAAAATTATAAGTATGTGATGTAATGCATGTTACATAGCTTGATTTAACCATTCCACAGTGTACACATGTATAAAAATGTCATAGTGTACATCATCCACATATAACATTTTTACTTGTTAATTAAAAATAAAAAGGGAGATGGACAAAGTGGCTGACTAGAAGGAGATGGTGTGCACCATTCTCACAGAGAGGAATAGGAGGGGTGAATAAATACAGCACCTTCAACAGAAATATCCAGGTACACACACTGAGACTAATCAAGGAAACAACTTAATCAATGGAGAATGGAGAAAAGCAAGGCAGGATAATGGGTCATCCAGGAGTGACGTGGAGCCAGGGGAACCTCCCTGACCCAGGGAAGTGGTGAGTGAATGTGTGACTCCAGAAACCCACACTTCTCTCATGGGTCCTTGTAATCCTCAGGTCAGGAGATCACCTCATGAACCCACTCCACCAGGGCCTCAGTCTGACACACAGAGCTATGTGGAGTCTTGGCAGAGCAGCTGCTCAGGCACACACAGAGACCCAGGAGCCTTAGATACCAAGGAAATCAAGCGGTTTCCCTACAATTCTAGATCCTACTAGTATGATTCACTATGGAAACTCTCATCAGCAAGTGTTTCAGCTGCTTTCAAATGGTTCCTAGCATCTCCCACATACTCAGTTTCTTGTTCATTTTTCAGCAGCATCTCTGTTGAGATGTCTCATAGCAGCTGCAATGAGTCTCGTTTTTTGTTTTTTTTTTTTAATTTTTTTTCCTGAGAAAAACTCTTCTGAGGAACAAGTTTAAATCTTATTATTAGCTTTACACCCAAGGAACTACTGTAGTACATGTAACTCATTAGAATGCTATACTCACAGCTCAAAGCTCTGTTGTAGGACACTTATTCATAAATTTCTTATTTGCTTCAAAGATATTCTTACAGTCCCCCTAGAGCAGAGGTCTAGGCCCACTTCCTGTTTTGGTAAATAAAGTTTTATTGTAACACAGCCTCATTCATTTGTTTACGCTTTGCCTATGATTGTGTGTGTTCTATAATAGCAAAGTGGAATTGTTGTGACAAAGATTGTGTACTTTGCAGTGCCTAAAACATTTACTATCTGGCCCTTTACAGAAAATTTTTAGTGATACCTGTTTAGATAGTTTTCTCCCTAAATATTACAACAAATATCACATTTTCTGTGTATTAACATTTAAAAGCAGACCTCTGAAGAACTTGGGGAGGTGGGGTAGGGGGTGGGAAAGTAAATACTCTCCATAGGGCAAAGTTACAAAAAGACTAATCAAATCCCTGGAATAATCAGAGTCTCCAAAGTAAACATGCAAATTAAACTCTATTTCTCTTATTTTGCAGGAAGAGAAACCTGAATTAGTTGTAGGTTACAGTCTTTCAAATCTATGTATTTTAACCAACCTATACATATTTACCTAATATCTAGTATACTATGATAAGTATCTGTATTGAGTGTAACATGTAAAGAATTATTCCCCAAGATTTGGGCTTCCACGTGGAGCAGTCTCCACTGGAAGGGTAGTTCCTAATCTCTTTGATTTTGGAATCTCTTTATACTACTTGCAATTATTGAGAATCTCAGAGAACTTTTATTTGAATTTTATCTATATATATTTACCATACTAGAAATAACTGTAAAATTTTAAATAGGTTTGTTTATTCAAAAACAACCGATACAACTCTGATGAGTGGAGGAACACCAGGGTTCTTGGTCTCCAGTCAAATTAGAAAAAATGACAGAGACACACGTGGAGTGGTTTTAAGGAATGGAGAGTTTAATAGGCCAGAAAGAAGGGAGAAGGCAGAAGGAAGAAGCTCCGGTACAGAGACAGAGGGAGGGGAGCTCCAAAGCCCAGAGAGGAAACCCCAAGTGGGGCAGAAACCAGCCAGGATATATACAGAGGCTGGAGGAGGCGGTGTCTGATTTGCATAGGGCTTAGGGGATTGGTTTGACCAGGTATGTCATTCACGTAGTCCTCGAAAAAGCTGGCTCTCCCACCCTAGTCCTTTAATATGCAAATGCAGGGCGCCATGATGTTCTACACACGTGGGGATATGTGGGGGCTGCCACGTTGCCAGGGCAAGGGCAAGGGCAATAAGGCCTCAGGAATCACCACATTTGGGTGGACCCAGTTTCTAATGGCTTGCATTTGCATATCAAAAGTTGCTGGCCTGGCTCTAAGAACCAGGGCTTTACAAGAAACTTTCTCTGAGATGCTTTAAAAAATGAAAACTTCCCAAGAACCCCTTTTCTTCTCTATCTGCCTAAAATAATTTCTTAATAACTCCTACAACATAACAATAACAAGCCCATTACTTTTCATTTCTTTTATCTTTCCTCTTTTACAATAAAAAACTGTATTTTCCCAAATTAAAACTAATTAGTGAGAAAGATGGCCATGCTTAAATTTTTGCAAGTCTTTTAAACGTCTGGCTTAATGGAACACAACTAGAGTCTCCTGTCTTCTGCAAACCATTGTGTTGTCATATTACATGTCATGTAGCCTCTGGAGAACTCCACTGTACACTAGTGAGAGAATAAGTCTGAAAAGGGCAAACAGTTTTGTATTATTATAAAAATAGTCTTGGTTTGTAGATCCCTGAAAGGGTCTTTGGGACCACAGTAAGAGCTGCTGCCCTAGAATAATATCTTTGACCTCTTTCTGCCTGCTCACTCAGTCTTATCTGGTTGAGGAGTGTCTTTGATCTCATTTGTGTGATTAGGGAAAGGAACCCAGCCCTTGTTATTTAATCTCTGCCAGCCTTCTTGGAGAAGCAGCCTGCCTTCAGGCAGTATATCTTTGGCTTCTCTATGATGTAAGTTTCCAGCTTTGTCGGTGACTAATTCCGGATTAATTCTAGGATCCAGTATTAGGCAGCCTCTTCCTGCTACATTTCTCAGATATGCTGATCTCCATCTTTTCGACCTCTATGTTTGTTTCTAAACTTCAACAAGAAACAGGATAATATTACTAAATCCACTCAAAATTCCTGCATTAGGCCTTTTAGGGTAAGGGGGAATAAAATTGTAGATATGTTCTAATTAACAAGTCATCAAGATATGTGTCAGTGACTAAAAAGTAATTTGTGTTCTATATAATTTGTTTTGACCGTTAGCAGCCCTTTGTAACAGAGTTTTGCTCAAAATTTCTTTCAGTTTCCCTTCTAGTACAATTTAAACTTTAAACTACCATTTATTGAGACCATACTCTGAAGCAAGCCCTCTTCGAAGCATTTTACATATATCGCTTTGCCTCATCCTCACAACAATTTAGGAGTTGAGTTTTGTCATCACTATTTTAAGCATGAGACAACCGCAACTTGTTCAAGGGACTTAGGTAGTAAGTGGGCAGAGCCATGATTTGAAATCGCGTTTGTTGTAAGACAAAAATCCAAGGCCTCAGCTCAAAGTACACATCGCCTCCTGACCTCAGGCCCCACCTCCCACACTGAATTGTGATCACCAGTCTCTTCTCTCACCAGGGAGAGCACTGCAGGGAAGAGGATTTCTCTTACTTTCTAACTTTCTCATTTTCCCAAAGCCCAGGACACTGCTTTGCTTGCAACTGCTTAGTCAATATATGCATTATAAATGAAGTTTTTAAGGGCGAACAAAGACAAAGATTGTTTTACATATTTTTTGTAGCACCTGTTCTACCCAGTATTATGCTAAGATATGGTGTGCTTAATCATGTTAGTGGTAATTTAGATAATTCGGTGAAACTGATTTCATTAGTCATGTGTAAAGAAACCTTTCTATTATTTGTAGTTTGATTTTTGCCTATTAAAGAAAATGCAGTACTTATTTCCCTTTATTATTTAACTATTCATTCACTTTAAAGAATGTAACAGGCTCCTATTGAAGGGACTTCATTGAGCCTGCTTTATTTTCATTACTTTAGGTAGATTTATTAATTAGATCCCTTAGCTGATTCTCAATCTGTCCTTTTGTTATTTACTTATTTATACAAGTCCTAGTGGGTTAGATGGGGGTGCAGTGGACTTCTCCTCTAGTCTTCACAGCACACACCACTATGATTATCACACAGTGGGCATAACTTTCTGTCCTGTTTCCAAGATTTGGTGTTGATATTCTCCCTGCAAGGGAAGACCCTTGGCACATCTGTATACAATGTGAAGAAATGTGGAGATGTCAAAACCCGGGACACATGCCGCCCAGCACTTGACAAGCAGAGTGTTATTAGCATTGGTAATAAGACTACCTGGGTCTGTCTGCAGAGGTCCTTCAGCTTGAGATCATTTACATTCACTGCACACAGCATTCAAACCTGGCTCCTAAATGAGACAGCTTTAGAGAAGACAATGGAAATCCTGACAGTAAAGTGAAAATTTCAGGTAGAAATCTATTCATCCTAATTAAGAGACCCTCTCAGACCTGCCTCTTGGCAATTAACACAGTTGTGTGTGGTCCTGTTATTTAAACTGACAATCTTAGGTTCTACAGGCTCAGGGAGCCCTCTCTCCTTCAGACCTCCACTGTCTGTAAATAGATTCTCTCTGACTTGGAACAGCAAACACTTTGAACATTTGCATTTCACTCATTACTTGTGCTGCTACAGGCTGAGCGTGACCCTGCCATGGAAACAAATCCAGCTGAAAACCACCTAATGGCATTGGTTATATAACTATTAGGTTTCCTTAAAACATACTTCCTAGGACCAAAAGAAAAAAATGAGATATTTGCACCATGGAATTATGTTGGTCTGGTCTCATTTTTCATTTTTCTCAACAAATGCTCTTTCTCTTTAAACTCAAATTATAAGAACTCAGCTCTTGTCCATAGTAAGAAGTCAATGGAATGTTAAACTTTGTATTAGAAAGCATAGTGGGAATTTACAATTTCTAATGCACTTTTTTTTTTCTTGACAATTATTATTTTGACAGCTGGAGATGCGGGTCTTTAGGGATGGTTGGCAACTAGATTTTTTATGAGTGGGTTAAAAAAAAGTCTCAAATTAAGTTTGAAAATCTCAACTGGTGCCCTTCTTTCCATTGATCTGTCACATTGTGTTCCGTTCCATCACATTCCTGCACAACTCCTCAAATTTAAAGGAGCCAGGCTTTTTTTTTTTTTCCAGGTCAGATACTAATTTAGAAATTTGGTGTGAAGTAATGATGAATAATGGATGAACTGAGTTTCTGAATTGGAGTTCCAGATTCTGAGGAACTTGGGAAATCTTCAAAGCCAGCTGGAATGTGTGAGCTTGAGTGTCAGGAGAGACCCATCTGAAGGAAGAGTTAGCTTCTCCACCTGCCTGGTGCACCATTCGCTGCCAGCTGGATTTGTTTCCCTCTGTGTTGAGACCAAATCAAATTGTTACATGTGAAAATAGTGAAATTACTTGGTTCTAAATTGCATTTGAAATCTAGAAATCCTGCTTTTGGTTACCTGCTAATACATAGAGCTTTGGCATAGATGTGGAAAGGGCACCATATTGCTTTCGGAAATCTTTGATCTGCCAATATCAGCCATTATCTGTTTCTGCTATCTATGCTTGATGTTTATGTAAGTTTCAGATTCTTTTCTCTGAAAGTTGTCTATTTCTTTGATGAACAAATAACACTAAATAGAGATTTATTCTTCCAAAGATTTGCAGTATTGCAAGGGGGTTTAATAAATACTACATATTCATCTGGAATTTAGAGCTATTTAAGTTTGAGTTTCTAAAAATTCTGCCTGAGAAGATATTAAATGATTAAGAGGTACCCATCCAATTGCAAATTATTTTTCCTGATTTCTTTCCTGATTTATCCAAATTTTCTCTGTTTCTTCTGGATAAGGCTTTCCATGGTAGCCCCTGGGACACAATGGAAAAATAGGGAACAAGTGACAGTTACCTTAATTAGAGTACAGTTAGGAGATTTTCAAGTGGTTGAAGGACTCCCCACAATAAGATAACTCAGTGGCACTGAGTTATCCTGCAGTGGGAATGTATAGTGGTATTGTTAATCCCTGTGTTCTCAGAGTTTTAAATCAGATTCATAGGTAACCCCAAAATGGGAACAATGCTGAATATACTGCATGATACAATTGAGACTAATATGATCTTTACAGGCTGAAATAACAGACCCAAATTTATCAAAACAAACCTTAATAGGAACAAATCTAAAGGCCAGTTCCTGGACTTAAAAATAACTTCACCAGGAAATAATGTAGGAGATGTTTCTTTTACAGAGACATTTACAAATGGTGATCTTGTATCATAGCATGTGCAATGTGAGGCAACAAAGCGATGCAACTGCCATAATACAATTGCAATTTTAGGTATGCAAGGGCCAAGGGAATGCTTTCCCTTTGCCCTCTGAAAGTTTGCTGAAAAATCAACTCACAAAAGGCGGATCAATTGGAGAATAGGCACACAAATGTACTCCAATGGGGTACAGTAGTTTATATACCTTCTTGAACTTACAGAAAGAATGGGGGCTTGGATTGTGGCAAAACAGGTTATAGTGGTAAAACAGGTTGAGAGAGGCGGAGAAGAGGAGGCCTGGCTTGCAAAGATGGTCTTGTTATGAAGATGAAACCTTACAGGTAGCAAGTAGATAGGGAATATTTTTTTTAGACCTTTTAAAGGTGTCAGACTCTCAGTTAATCTTCCAAGATCAGACCAAGGAAAGCTTCAGAGAAAGCCTGGCTGCATCAATGAAGATTTGTCTCTACAAAGGCAGATCTCCCTGACAAAAGGTAGCCTTTCATCCATTCTTATATTCCAGCCATCCTGAATAGCCATCTCCAAATGTCAAAGAAATATATTTTGGGGTGAAGTTCCCTGTGCTACTGTAGATGCTTTGGTGGATGCACAGTACAAAGGATGAAGAAAGTGAAGGTATTGTCCTCTTGGGGTATTATTGCATCTTTACAATTTGTAAGACAAAAACAAACCAGAATGGTATAAGCAGGAAGCTACATGATATTGTGTATGGAAGGGTTAAAGCCACCAGAGAAATTTAACCAGCAGATATGAAGCTTCAGATTGGTTTGATGCTAATGTTTGCAGATGTCAAATGGAAGAAGATAAAATTTTCAGCAAGTTGAACTAGAATTGGGTACAAGTTACAGGAACATGGCCTTGTTCAAATTAAGACAAGAAAAAGCTTTCTCACAGAAGTGGCAACAGATGCACTGGCAATTTCTAGAAAGCTGTCTTTCTGGAAACTTCAAGCCAAAGCTAAATGATTAGTTTGAAGAAATCTTGTAGGGAGAATTCAGACGGGCAGTTAGGTTTAATAGCTGATTGTGACTTTTTTCCCCCTGAAATTCCTCATTATCAATCTTATAATGCCAGTGTGCCCAAATGAGCAAACCTAATGAATTAGAGCTTTGGTAAGAAATTATTTATTCATTATACATAAGAAAAAGCTATGATATACAGGTGATAGAATAGTAATCCCAGGGAGTCCTTGTCCTCAGAAATCTTTAAAGAGTGGGAGAGAAAATTACTATGTTGGCTTAGAGAATTTCATGGTTACAAACTGGCTTATGAAGCAGCTAGTTTCTTGTGTTATAGTTATTTGTATACCGGGAATCTGTATTCTATCTTTAAAGTCGTTATTGTTCAGACTGTTTCTACAACCTTTAAGATTAATCAACTATGCATAATTTCACTTTATGACATGGAATGGGCTGCTCATAACCTTTTGGCTCACCCCACACAAAGAGAAAAATATGGTGTGTTATTGTCTGACACCTCGTTACAAGTTGCTTCTCATTTTCCACCTTGAATCATTTGAAGAATGCAAGTTAAAATGTATGACTTGGTCTTTAAAGTATTTTAAGTTCTATCCATTAGAAAAAAGACCTCTGCAACTCTTATATTGGATACTTTGACATTAAGTAGTGATAAAATAATGATGCAATTATGCTTCGAGCACAGAAAACCAATTTGAATTAAAGTTATATATTTTTTATTCCCTCACTTTGATATGTATATGTTAGGTGAAGGTACAGGAGGATACAGATCAAGGTCAGAAAGGGTCACAGAAATGTTTGGAGGCCGTTAGCCCAAATTTCCTCATCATTAAAATTACCTGGAGATTAAAAATTCTCTGGGAAAGTTTCTGAGTGAGTAACTTTGGAATGGAGCTGAAGAAGCTGTGTGTTTAACAAGTATTGGTGGGGTTTCTTATGATCAGACAAGAGAATGCTATTCTAGACAATTTCAAGTCACAGTTCAAGCAAGAGAGAAAACTATAGATGAGCAGGAAGCTGTAATAGTTAAAAAAAAAGAGTTGCTATTTTCCAGCAAAGATGTCACAGAATTGATCTGCTCATTTATGCAGGTGGTGCTACCTAAAAAACTTTTATGTTTAAGTCTTTAAATCATGAATTATTGAATTGGCTCATGTATTCTAACTCAGCCAGAATATTTCTTTCTATCTGCATTATGGAAAGAATCTCAGGTAAGCTATTTGCCTTGCATGAGTCCATTTTGCTACTTTCAACATAAACACTTTTTTTTTTTTTAAGTAACAACCAAACCACTAGTGGATGATTTAATGACCAAAATGTGCCTTCTCCTTGTGAAGAAAAACAAAGGGTGTCACCAGCTGCTTAACAGTGATGTGTGGGAAGAGACTTAGTCAATACTTGTTCCTCTGCTATTACCAACTGCTTGTTCCTTCCTTTCCCCTTTCATAGACTGGACATTTGGTAGTGTTTTCTCTTAATTAACTTCTGCCCTTATGGGCAAAATTATAACATTCAACTGTGCTTGAATTACTAGGCCTTTTTCCCTTTAGAATAAAATTTGAGACAAAATTTGAAATTTGAATGGATGCATTATACAAACTATATTTCAATTAATGCAAATTATCTTCCTGTCTTTATTTTTTTCACAAAAATACCCACAAACTTTATTAAGCAGACTTTGCTTTAAGCAGCTTATTTTAAAAAAAATGTATTGCTGAGATTTTTATGTCAAATAGAAATGTTATAAATGCTGGATAACTGTGAACTTTCCAATAGTTGTTTAATTCTCGTGAGTCTTTGCTATTCAGTAAATGAAGAAAGAATCTCAAAGGCTATTGAAATTTCAAGAGTTGATAGTAGACGAGGGATTTAGACATTGTTAATTTCCTTCCTTTCCTTTACCTTTAAAGAGGAAGTATTCAAAAGAATAGGCTGAAGAGATTATGAGATTAAACAGGGTGGTTCATATAGAAAAATGATACAAAGATGAATCATGGGAAATAGTTCTATTAATTCACCAACTATTTGAATTGAAGCTCACATCACTTAAAGTGGCAAGGGTTTATGTCTCTGCTCTTCCTGGCTGTTATATTGCATATAAAAGGCATTTATTATTTCTCTCTTGCTGACTATGCGTCTGTATTTCTTGTATTTGAAGACACAATCTGGTACTATTCTTTCAGACTATCTGAAAGTCAAAAACAACTTGAACCCAGCTTGATGGCTCACATTATTTTATGGAATTCTTCCCTTTTTACTGCAATTTCTTACCATGTCAAGACATCCTTTAAATCAGCAGTTCCCAACTTTTTGCCACCAGGGACTGGTTTTGTGGAATATAATTTTTCCATGGGTGGGGAGTTGCAGGGGATGGTTTTGGGATGAAACTGTTCCACCTTAGATCATCAGGCATTAGTTAGATTCTCGTAAGGAGCATACAACCAAGATCCCTCGCATGCGCGATTCACAATAGGGTTAATAGGGTTTGCACTCCTATGAGAACCTGATCTTACAGTAGGCAGAGCTCAGGTGGTAATGCTCACCTGTCACTCAGCTCCTGCTGTGCCGCCTGGTTCCTAACAAGCCCCAGACCAGTACAGGTCCATGGCCTGGGGGTTGGGGACACCTGCTTTAAATTGTTTTCTGGCTATGTAGCATTCCATCGTATCAAACTGAATATTTCCCTGCAAAAAATTGGTAGCATTGTTTCAAAAATCTTGATTAAAGCTTACTATGTAAATCCATCAATTTTATTACTATCCAATAATTTCTTTGAAAAAATGCTTTGCTTTTAACTGGATTGTCTTAAAAAGATCCCATTGATATACGTAAAGATTGTTTTCTTCTAGAAACTCTAACCTTTCAATTACTGTTTATATTAGTGTTTGCTATTTAATATTCCTTTACACTTTATAGATTAAACATATAGATATTACATATGCAATTTTGTTAATATATCTATATTTGTGTTTAATTTCATGTGGCAGTAAATAGGATTAATGGTATACACACATAGGTATGCATGCAAATTAGGTAATAAATCTCATAAAGAACCCGAGATTAGGAGAAAGAGGTGAAGTGATTTTTTCCAATGTTATATATTCAGGAAGTGGCTCAGCTAGTTTGCAGACTCAGGTTTGTGTACTCTTTGTCCAGTGCCATCTCTGCTTACATTATTCTGTGCAGTGATAAGTGCCGAGATTGCCTTTCTTTTTAACATATTGTGTAGTTTATTTGCATTTCTGTTACAATTTTTTTGGCATCTGTTTTTCTAATTTATCTGATTTTCAAGCTGCTTGCGGCTTATACACTAGAGAATTTCTTCAAAACCTATACTTAGTCAATAATCACCAAATTGGTAATTTTCCCATGAGTAGTTTCAGGTTTACAATTTAAAGATCAATTTATTTAACTGATAGCTGCTTTTCTAATTAGTGATGCCTTGTCATTTAGAGGCAGATGTTTAAGAAAATTAGCGTTGGATACAAAAGAGCATAAACCAACACACATTTTCAACATTTTAAGCTCACCAAACACTTACCACTTTGGATAATACTGGAGAAAATTATGAATGAATTATTAAAATTTTTGAAATACAAAATATCAGCTTCCTAAACATTATAAAGTACATAGTGTGGCATGATAAAATGGCTATATTTTAAAATAAATGTGACTCTCATTTCAAGTACTTACAGTAAACCGACCTGCCAGAATTATTAACTGAGCAACTACTATGAAAAAAGTAGTGTGGGGTAGTGGAAAGAAATGGGTTTTTCCTTTAAACTGTTCTTGATTTGGATCTGGGCAAGCTGTGGAACTTCCTAATACAGTGTTTCCAAATTTATTCATATTTCTGAACATAACTTCTCTTGTCATAAAATAATGGTAATAATACTCCCTCTATAGGGGATTAAATAAGATTATCTAAATAAACTGCTTGTCACAAAGTAGCTGGTCAATCTCAGCCTGCCACTGCCGTTCACCTGCTTTTCTCAATGCCTTTCTGAGCTATAGCAAAGAGAAATGATAGATTACAAATTAAAATTACTGAGAGTTATTTGAAATGACGTTTGTCATGATCTACTCCTTAATTCTTTTTGTTTTTCTTAACTCACTCATTTATACATTATGTATTTCCTTTTTTCATTTTCCTTTATTTTATTTTTTAAAACTTTTAGGTTCAGGGGTACATGTTCAAGTTTGTTGTACAGGTAAACTCATGTCATGGGGGTTTGTTGTACAGATTTTTTCTTCGCCTGGGTACTAGACCTAGTACCCAATAGATATTTTTTCTGATCGTCTCCTTTCTCCCACCCTCCAACTTCAAGAAGGCCCCAGTGTCTGTTGTTCCGCTCCTTATGTCCATGTCTTCTCATCATTTACCTCCTACTTATAAGTGAGAGTATGTGGTATTTGGTTCTCTGTTCCTGCATTAGTTTGCTAAGGATAATGATCTCCAGCTCCAGCCATGTTCCTGTAAAGAATATGATTTTGTTCTTTTTTATGTCTGCATAGTTTTCCACAGTGTATATGTACCACATTTTCTTTATCCATGGGCATTTGGGTAGATTCCATGACTTTGCTATTGTGAATACTGCTACAATGAACATCTGTGTGCATGTCTTTACAGTAGAATGATTCATTTGTATATATATATATATATATACCCAGTAATGGGATTGCTGGGTCAAATGGTAGTTCTGTTTTTAGCTCCTTGAGGAATCACCACATTGCTTTCCATGATAGTTGAACTAATTTACACTCCCACCCACAGTGTATAAGTGTTTCCTTTTCTCTGCAACCTCGCCAGCATCTGTTATTTTTTGACATTTTAATAATAGCCATTTTCACTAGTGTGAGATGATATCTCATGGTGATTTTGATTTGCATTTCTCTAATGATCAGTGATATTCAGCTTTTTTAACAATATGCTTGTTGACTGCATGTATGTCTTCTTTTGACAAGTGTTTGTTTGTGACCTTTGCCCATTTTTAACGGGGTTTTTTTTTCTTGTAAATTCGTTTAAGTTCCTTATAGATGCTGGATATTAGAACTTTGGTTTGCAAATATTTTCTCCCATTCTGTAGGTTGCCTATTTACTCTGTTAATGGTTTCTTTTGCTGTGCAGAAATTCTTAACTTTAATTGGATCCCATTTGTCAGTTTTTGCTTTTGTTGCAATTGCTTTTGGCATCTCACCATGAAATCTTTGCCAGTTCCCATATCCAAATGGTATTGCCTAGTTTGTCTTCCAGGATTTTATAGTTTTGGGTTTTACATTTAGGTCTTTAATCCATCTTGAGTGATTTTTGTCTATGGTGTAAGGAAGGGGCCCAGTTTGAATCTTCTGTATATGGCTAGCCATTTACCACAGCACCACTTATTGAATACAGATTTCTTTCCCCATTGCTTGTTTTTGTCAACTTTGTCAAAGATCAGATGATTGTAGTGTGTGGCTTTATTTCTGGGCTCTAGATTCTGTTTCATTGGACTATGTGTCTATTTTTGTGCCAGTACCATGCTGTTTTGATTATTGTGTCTCTGTTGTACAGTTTGAAGTCTGTAATGTGATGCCTCCAGTTTTGCTCCTTTTGCTTAGAATTGTCTGGCTATTCAGGCTCTTTTCTAGTTCCATAGAATTTTTTAATAGTTTTTTTCAAGTTCTGTGAGGAATGTCCTTGGAAGTTTGATAGGAATAGCAGTTAATCTATAAATTGCTTTGAGCAGTATGGTCATATTCTTTCTACACATGAACATGGAATGGTTTTCCATTTGTTTGTGTCTTCTCTGATTTCTGTGAACATTGTTTTGTAATTCTCATTGTAGAGATTGTTCACCTCCCTGGTTAGCTGTATTCCCAGGTATTTTATTCTTTTTGTGGCAATTGTGAATTGGATTGCATTTCTGATTTGTCTCTCAGCTTGGCTGTTGCTGGTTTATGGAAATGCTAGTGATTTTGGTATGTTGATTTTGTATCCTGAAACTTTGCTCAAGTTGTTTATCAGCTGAAGGAGCTTTTAGGCCAAGATGATGGGGCTTTCCAGATGTATTAATAGAATCATGACATCTGCAAACAGGGATGGTTTGACTTTTCTTCTTCTTATTTGGGTGCCCTTTATTTATTTCTCTTGCCTGATTGCTCTGGCCAGGACTGCCAATACTATGTTGAATAGAAGTGGTGAAAGCTGGGCATCTTTGTCTTTGTTGGTTTTCAAGGGGAATGTTTCCAGCTTTTGCCCATTCAGTATGATCTTGGCTGTGGGGTTGTCGTAGATGGTTCTTATTATTTTAAGGTGTGTTCCTTCAATACCTAGTTTTTTTGAGTTTTTAGCATTAAGGAATGTTGAATTTTATAAAAAGCCTTTTTTGCATCTATTCAGATAATCAGGTGGTTTTTGTCTTTAGTTCTGTTTATGTGGTGGATCACCTTTATTGATTTGTGTGTGTTGAACCAACTTTGCATTTCAGGGATAAAGCCTATGTGATCATGGTGGATTACTTTTTGATGTGCTTTTGGATTCATTTTGCAAGTATTTTTGTTGAGGATTTTTGCATGAATGTCCATCAAGGATATTAGTCTGAAGTTTGTGTGTGTGTGTGTGTGTGTGTGTGTGTATGTGTGTGTCTGTTCCAGGTTTTGATATCAGAATGATGCTGGCCTCAAAGAATGTGTAAGGGAGGAGTCCCTCCTCCTCTATTTTTTGAAATAGTTTCAGTAGGAACGGTACCACTTCTTCCTTTTATATCTGGTAGAATTTGACAGTATACATCATATATTTCTTAAGTGCTTACAATTTGCCAGGTAATGTTTGATAAATGGAGGCAATAAGGAACACGGTGCTTAAATTACTAGCTGAGGTCATAAAGTTATTTTTGTCTGACTCCAGTCTAGAGCTTTTATTCATTGTACATGGTGTATAGCAAGAAAAAACAATCATACAAATAAAACAAGAAGGAACTCTGTAAAATAATACATAATAATAAATGGTTGTAAGATAAAATAATAATATAATAAAATAAATAAAATAATATTAAATGGTTGTAAAATAATATGCAATTGAAATCAAACCCGTTACCCATAAAGTTTGAGGATCTTAACAAATGGATTGACCAATCAGGCTGGAATAGGATAGGAGCCAATGGGCTTTGAGACATGGAAGACACAAATGTTTCTTACAGGGAAGGCATGGAGGCAGGAAATTGCATGATCTTATCTAATGGTGAAGTGGCCCAGCCTAATGAATAGAAGGTCTTATTATAAAGTCATGTGAAAGAAGGTTATTAGGTTCAGGTAAAATTTGACTTAGAGGACCTTGAAAATTAAACAGAAATGATTTTTCATAATAATAGCTATTATTTATTCCACATTAACTGTGTGCCAGGCATTGTTCTAAATAATGTGTTAAATCATTTAATTCTCATAGCAACATTATAATTTAGATATTATTATTATTCATATTTTACAGAGGAAAAAACTGAAGTACAACAAGTTTAAATCATTTGACCAAGGCCTTATGGCTAAGATGTTGCCAAGCTGGTGTTTGAATTCAAGCAGCCTGGCTCTAGAGTCCATACTCTTATCACTACTGTTATAATACTTGATAAGGTATAGTGCAGGTAGAAAATGAAAGTTTTTGATCAAGGGATGGACACAAAGCTTACATGCACACTTTCTAAATTAAAGTATATATATGTATACACTTTAATATATATAAATTAATATATTATTTAATTAATATATTAAAGTATATAAATGTATATGTATGCTTTAATTTAGAAGACTGTGTGTGTGAGAGACAGTGTGTGTGTGTGTATACCCTTCTATATAGAAAAAAGTGGTATATTGGAGAAAAGTAAGGGTCAGGGATTCCAGGAGGTATTTCAGTATGGGTCAATAGCTACATGGCCTAGGATGGTCTTATTAGAATGGAACATTTGGGAGCTTTTCTATATGTGCATTATAAGAAAGAAAGCAATTCTAAATTGCCCCAAGATATCAAGGCTGACTGGCTGGAAGAAGGATGGTGTCATTGACTAAAATGGAGAAGTTAGGGCAGGTGGCAGTTTTTGGGAAGAACACAATGAACTTGGCTTTATGAATACAGAATTTTATTTAGTGTGTGAAACTTTGAGGCTGGCATCTAGAAAGAATTGAGAGATGGATACCTGAGTTTGGGAGTCATTAGCAAAAAGGTGATAGGGAAAGTCATGAGAATAGATCCACTGTCTAAGGGAGAGACTGTGAAGAGAAAAGAGCAGATGGCAGAAGGAGTAGGTTAATTAGTAACACCAACTAATGGCTAACCAAGGGTTTCCAAGCGAAGTACCTGCCAGATTTGTTTAAACAATAGCTCTTTAACTGTGTTTACACAAGTAATTTGCTTAGGCAAACCCTTTCTTCCCCTCCCTCCTCCACCACATAGTTTGTGCAGAGTGGGGTAACTTTGGATCAGTTACAACAATAGAAAGTTAATAGAAACAAAATTAATAAAAACAGCCAAATAAATGCAGTTTGTACTGAATATACCTGATACCCACCTTTCTGGCCATCACCTTTCTCTTTTAACTGAGTATGTTTTGCTCATCTCCCCAAAGGACCATACTATTCTCATTTTGCACCTTATTGCTCCTAAAAGCTTCACTTTATTTTTTTACCTAAAGGACAATTAAAAGAAATTCAGTGGCTCAGTGTTTTACACATCATGGATTTAATAGGTCTAATTTATTTAGGAGCTTACATACACTATATTTTCTTTTTTTCTCCTTAAAATAGTTACAACAGTCTCTTACTCATTCTGAATTTTATAGCTCTTAGTTTCCTCTGGAAACAGTTCACTTCCTGTATCATTTTTTTGTTGTTGTTGTTTACCACCATTTTATCCTTCACTCTCCAGTTTTAAGACACACAAAAAACATTTATTGACACTTTTTGCTTTTCTGCTAGGAATTAAAAAGTATTTACATATAGAATAAACTTTCATTTGATATTCTATATGTTATTCTATATCATATTCTATATGTATATATAATAATTACTTATTTTATTCCAGTACATAATCATTTAAATTGACTTCTTGCAACTGATTTTCCTGAATTAAGCATATTCTATTAGTAAAAGCTTAATTTACTAAATGTCACCTGAAACTGTTATTTTCAGATTATATAATATATATCCTGATTCTTTCCTTTTTTTCAAAAAAAGATTGACACTAGGTCTTTCAAAAGTGCCCATTCTATCTTTTTTGTGACCCTCTGTAAATCTTTGATGATACTTGGTTAACACATGTAGCTCAATAATTTTATTAATAAATAACAATTTGTCATATTACTATGATTTTGAACTTAATTACTGAGAAGTGAACCCCAGATTTCTATTCTTTGTTTCAATCTTACAGAATGATTTTCAACGTCTTCTGATAGAGCTTTAGCCAAGCATCTGCCTCTTTATAATCAAATTACTTATAGGGCCCATGTCCTTTGTTTTCTTTTTTATCAATTCCAGATGGGGAGGGCTCTATTTGGCCCATTCATCATGAAGAGCTACCTTAACCTCCCGTAGGATTTCAGATCACAGGGCTGGAGGCACTGACAGTAAGGTCCTCCTAAAGGAGACGTGCCACCTTTAGCACTTCTGTGTGTGCTACAAATCTCTGCAAACTATGAAGAGGTGGAGCTGGACAGAGCTTGTATATCTGCCAGCTTAGGCTTTGAAATTTGTTGATGCTGGTCTTTGATTGGAATCCTCTGGTTTAAAGCAGCATTTTCCAGAATGTATTCCTAAATGCTACAGTATATTAATAAATGTTACAAATAAAAAGTTTCACATAAAATTCTGGATTAAACGATGTTGAGTGTTTGTCTTTGCTTTCTGATATCTCAAAGCCTTCAAATACACTAATATGTATTGTAAGACTCCATGAAAAAAACAATGTGTCTTCTGCATCTCAAACTGTTTTGTCTCTTCTTGTATATTAGAAGGCTATTTCCTTAGACTACATTTTATAAAGTGCAGGCCTGGGTTATAGATTCCAATATAAACATTTTTAGTGGGTTGATTACTTTTTTTCCATTAGCTTTCCTTCATCCTAGGTTAACATTATGTAATCTGTTTAGCCTTTTAAGTGTGAATATTTGAATGGTGTTTTAAATTTTTAAAAATTAAATTAACGCCTGTAATCCCAGCACTTTGGGAGGCCGAGGCGGGCGGATCACGAGGTCAGGAGATCGAGACCATCCCGGCTAAAACGGTGAAACCCCGTCTCTACTAAACCTACAAAAAATAGCCGGGCGTAGTGGCGGGCGCCTGTAGTCCTAGCTACTTGGGAGGCTGAGGCAGGAGAATGGCGTGAACCCGGGAGGCGGAGCTTGCAGTGAGCCGAGATCCCGCCACTGCACTCCAGCCTGGGCGACAGAGCGAGACTCCGTCTCAAAAAAAAAAAAAAAAAAAAAATTAAATTAAAAAATTCTGATGACCGAGAAGAAAATGGACCGTAAGGTCTAAAGACGTTATTGTAGAAGTCTAGGCAATAGATTATAGTGTCATAGGGAAGGGTGGTAATTATTGAGGAGGATATATTTTGGAAATATAATTGACAGGAATTACTTATGGATGGTATCTAGGGATACACTTGTGTTTTAGGACCAATCAAATGAATGGATGAAGGTGTCATTTACTGAGATGGGGAATATTAAAATACGCAGAGCTTTGGTAGAGAGAGTATCTGTGGATCAAGATTTCTGATTTAGTAATGTAACATTTGGGTTGCAGGGCAGCAATCAAATGGAAATGTCAAGCAGAAAGTTGGATGTAGAAGTCTGGCCTTATTGCAGAGGCCATACACTGAACAATATATTTGGAATCCATTAGCATACAGATAACACTTAACTTCGTAAGACTGTATGATATTACCTAGGTAGAACATTTAAAACATGAAGGAAAGAAGGCCCATGGCTGTGCCTCGAGGTCAGACTCTCCCTACCTTTTCACAGGGATTAAAAACTGTGGCTACTCAAAGAAACTCCAACTATATTCTAGAGTCGGCTCTGTCTTAGCTCTTATGTTCTTTAGGCTCCTTAAGACTCAGGTAAACAGATCCTGAGGAGAGGTTCATTACAATCAGCTTGTGGGGCTTTCTTTAGTTTTCTGGAAATTGATGTTAGGAGACCTTAGAGGGTATAAGCCAAACTATTTGAATATCATATTCTTCCAAATGAGCAACTCTTGAGGGGCTGAGCTTAGGTGTATTAGTTTCCTAGGGTTGCTACTACAAAATAACACAAACCCTATGACTTAACAAAAATTTATTATCTTACAGTTCTAGAAGTTAGTTTGAAATCAGCATGTCTGCAGGGCCATCCTCTCTCCAAAGGCTCTAGGGGAAAATCCTTCCTAGCTTCTGGTGGTGGCTGTTAGTCCTTGGCATTTCAAGGCTTGCTGCTGCTGTGTGTTGATCTCTGCTTTCATTTATTATGTGGTATTCTCCCTAGGTGTGTCTGTATTGCTGTGTCCATTCTCCTCTTCTTATAAGGACACCAGCCATTTTGAATTAGGGCTTACCCTAATAACCTCATCCTAAGTTGATTATATCTGCAAAGACCCTATTTCCAAATGCAATTATATCCACAAGTTCCAGGGGTAAGGACTTCAACATATTTTGGGGGGAGTGGGGCACAATTCTACCCATAAAAGTTGATATGGAGATAGGACTCAAGATGTAGCTAAGTGTTAAGAAAACATCCCATCATTATCTTGACATGAAGACATGGACCCAGCTTTGGTTACTGCAGAATTCTCACAAATTCCACAAAGGAGGCTCCATTCCTTCAAAGAGGACTCTGACTCTTAACACTGTAGCAGAATAAGATGTTGTTATGCTTTCACCCTTGGAAATTTATTTTGCCCCATAATACTTTTTCACTGAGGTAGCTAGACATAACTCATAAACTTTATAAGTAGATAAAATAAAAAGAACCATCATTTATCAATTGACTTTTATACTTCAGAAACTAAGGACCTTGAATAAAACAATAGAATTGGAAGAATAGTTTCTCATTCCAAATTTTTTCTAAATTAGAAACAGATAAAAATTTTATTATCTGGGAAAGAAGTGAAGAATTCTAGAAGACAGTAATATATTAAAACTGAGGAGAAAAAGCAATAGAAGAAATTGCTGGTATGGATGTCTGAAAGGAGAACCTACCTCTGCCTCCTTGGGTTGTGAAAGCAATAGAATTTCCACATAGATTCAGGGATATGAGAGTAAAGGAGACCTGTACTCACTTAACTTGGGACTCTGGGTGTGACAGCCTTGAAGATTTTCTTGCTTTAACATGATGTGGAATCTCCATAAAAGATAGTTCAAGAGGTCTTGAACAGAGAAAGCCTAAGATAGCCTCAGAGTGTATAAGCAATATTTTCTGTAAATCTGAGAAGGGTGAAAATGGATAGCTGAGAAGGCAAACTGGTAGACTTGATAAGGTCTCGGGGGAAGGATGATGGGTAGGCTATTCAGCTAGATATCAGGGGAAATGTGAATAATCCTGCAGTTGCTGGCCTAAGGGGATAGTGATGATGGAAGAGACAATGTGATACATCTTTCGTTGAATGCCAGAGTGGACAGACAGCTCCCTGGGACCAGATAACCAAATAGCTTGGTGTTATGAAGCCTGAGGAATGCAGATGAAACTTCATGGGAAAAAAATAGAGAAGACTCTGGGATGTTATGGAGTGAACTCCAAACTAACCAGGATTACCTTTTCTACTACTGGACAGAATGCGGCCTCTAGATACGAACTAAATTCATTTATAGAAAAATAAAGTTAACTCCATTTGTTCCTTTGTGAGTTTACAGTCTGAAATGTCATACCTACTAAACCTTTGCAATAAAGTTTTTCCCAGTATACAGATGAGCCTCAAGGCACTCTGCAATAGGACACACCTATGGATTAGATAATAATTCCCTGGGAAACAGGGCCAGATTTCTGCCATGATTATATCTCAAGTGCATGACATAGTAATGTAGGATGCTGTGATAGAGGACATACTTGCTGAACAATGAATGAGTAATTGGATGTCTGTTCTCTAGCTCCAAAGGAATCCCATAGCAGAGTAAAATGAAACTTACTACATATAAGAGGGCATGTAAGGCAATGACAAATGAAGCTAGTCGGTACCATTAACCTTCTCAAAGAAGTAGCCAAGACTCTGGAGTTTTGTATATACTGGCTCAAAGAGTAATAAAATGCCCCTCAACATTTCTGAGCCCTAATTTTCTCATACATATCACAGTGATGGTTTAATATTTCTTTGACTTCTCTCTAGCTAGGTAGTTTAAAATTTTTGTTAATATAGTATAAAATATATAATATAACTAACATTTGTGGTAAGCACAAGGATGTTAAGTTCAGCTTTTTACGTATTTAATCTCATTTAAGCGATGCAGTAATTCTAGGAGGTAGAATTACTCTTCTTTCCATTTTTCAAAAAAAGAACCTATGTCTGAGAGAGGATTAGTAACTCAGAATCCTATAGCTGGCTAGTTCTAAGACATAAACCCTGGGCTTGCTTTTGGCCATTGTGCTATATTGCCTCCAAACCGTGGAAAATACACAGGTACATCTCATTTTATTGTATTCCACAGATATTAAGTTAATTCTTTTTTTTAACAAAGTGAAGGTTTGTGGCAGTCCTGTGTTGACCAAGTCTATTGGCACCATTTTTTTTTTTTTTTTTTTTTTTTGAGACGGAGTCTCGCTCTGTCGCCCAGGCTGGAGTGCAGTGGCGCGATCTCGGCTCACTGCAAGCTCCGCCTCCCGGGTTCACGCCATTCTCCTGCCTCAGCCTCCCGAGTAGTTGGGACTACAGGCGCCCGCTACCACGCCCGGCTCATTTTTTGTATTTTTAGTAGAGACGGGGTTTCACCGTGTTAGCCAGGATGGTCTCGATCTCCTGACCTCGTGATCTGCCCGCCTCGGCCTCCCAAAGTGCTGGGATTACAGGCGTGAGCCACCGCGCCCGGCCTGGCACCATTTTTTTAATAGCACATGCTCACTTCATGTGCTTCGTATATCTGTGTCACATTTTGATATTTCTCACAATATTTCAAACCTTTTTGTTATTATTATACTTTTATGGTGATCTATGATCAGTAATTTTTGAAGTTACTATTGTCATTGTTTTAGGGTGCCACGAACCATCTCCATATGAGATAGCAAATTTAATCAATAAATGTAGTGTGTGTTCTGACTGCTTTACCAACTGGCCATTCCCCCATTTTTCTTCCTCTCCTTGGGCCTCCCTATTCCCTAAAGGCAACAATATTGAAATTTGGCTAATTAATAACCTCACAATGGCCTCTAATTTTTCAAGTGAAAGGAAGAGTCACACGACAGACTTTTTTTATTTTTTTGAGACCGAGTCTCGCTCTGTCGCCCAGGCTGGAGTGCAGTGGCGCGATCTTGGCTCACTGCAAGCTCCGCCTCCCGGGTTCAGGCCGTTCTCCTGCCTCAGCCTCCCAAGTAGCTGGGACTACAAGTGCCCGCCACCACGCCTGGCTAATTTTTTGTATTTTTAGTAGAGATAGGGTTTCACCGCGTTAGCCAGACCGCATTAGCCAGATGGTCTCAATCTCCCGACCTCGTGATCTGCCCGCCTCAGCCTCCCAAAGTGCTGGGATTACAGGCGTTGAGCCACTGCACCCGCCCACACAACAGACTTTTAATCAAAAGCCAGAATGATTAAGCTTAGTGAGGAAGGCATGTCAAAAGCTGAGATAGGGCCCAGTATGGTGGTTAATGCCTAAAATCCCAGCACTGTGAGAAGCTGAGGTGGTAGGATTGCTTGAGACCAGGAGTTTGAGACCAGCCTGAGCAAAGTAGTGAGACTCAGTCTTTGTTAAAAAATAAAAAATTTAGCTGGGTGTGGTGGTGTGTGCCTATAGTCCCAGCTACTCTGGAGAGTGAGGTGGGGGGATTGCTTGAGCCCAGAAATTTGAGGCTGCACAGCACTCCAGCCTGGGCAACACAGGCTGGAAGAAAAGAAAAAAAAAAAAAAAAAAAAAACAAAGCTGAGATAGGCTAAAAGCTAGGCCTATTGCACCAATTAGTTAGCAAAATTGTGAATGCAAAGGAAGAGTTCTTGAAGGAAGTTAAAAGTGTTACTCCAGTGAACACATAAATAAGGAAGTGAAACAGGCTTATTGCTGATATGAAAAATGTTTTTAGTGGTCTGGACAGAACATCAAACCAGCCACAACATTTCATTAAGCCAAAGCCTAGTGCAGAGCAAGGCCTTAACTCACCTCAGTTCCACGAAGACTGAGAGAGGTGAGGAAGTTGCAGAAGAAAAGTTTGGAGCAGCCTTCTATTGCAAGAAGATGCCATGTAGGACTTTCATAGCTTAGAGAGGAGAAAGTAATGACCAGCTTCAAAGCATCAAAGGGACAGGCTGACTTTCTTGTGAGGGGCTAACACAACTAGTGACTTTAAAAGCCAGTGTTCATTTACCATTCCTAAAATCCTAGAGCTTTGAAGAATTATGCTAAATCTACTCCACCTTTGCTCTATAAATGGAACAAATCTTGGCGAGAGCACATCTCTTCATAGTGTGGTGTACTGAATATTTTAAGTCCCCAGTTGAGATACACTACTCAGAAAAAAGATTCTTTTCAAAATATTACTGCTCATTGACAATGCACCTAGTCACTCAAAAGCTCTGATTGTGATGCACAGAAGATTACTCTTGTTTTCATGCCTGCTAACAGCACATTCACTCTGTAGCCCATGGATTAAGGAGTAATTTTGTCTTTCAAGTCTTATTATTCAAGAAATACCTTTGTTAACACTATAGCAGCCATAGATAGTAATTCCTCTGATGGATTTAAGCAAAGTAAATTAAAAACCATCTGGAAAGGATTCACCATTCTAGATGCTATTAGGATATTTTTGATTCATGAGAGGAGGTCAAAATATCAATATTAATTGGAGTTTGGAAGAAGTTGATTCCAACCCTGATGGATGACGTTAGGGGGTTCAAGACTTCAGAGAAGAAAGTAAGTGCCAATGTGATGAAAATAGCAAGAGAATTAGAATTAGAAGTGGAGCCCAAAGATGTGACTGGGTTGTTGTAATGTCATGATCAAACTTGAATGAATGGGGGGAGTTGTTTCTTATGGATGAGAAAAGAAAGTGGTTTCTTCAGAATAAATCTATTCCTAGTAAGGATGCTGTGAATATTGTTGAAATGACAGCAAAGGATTTATAATAGTTCATAAACTCACTTGATAAAGCAGCAACACGTTTTGAGAAGATTGAATCCAGTTGCAAAAGTTCTGCTGTGCATAAAACGCTGTCAAATAGCCCTGTATGCTGCAGAGAAATCTTTCATGATAGGAAGAGTCAGTCAATGTAGCAAATTTCATTGTTGTTTTATCTTAAGAAATTGTCACAATCACCCCAGCCTTCAGCAACCACCACCCTGATCAGTCAGCAGCTGTCAACATCGAGCAAGACCATTTGCTAGCAAAAAGATTATGCCTTGCTGAAGGCTCAGATGATTGTTAGCATATTTTAGCAATAAAGTGTTTTTAATTAAGGTATGGACATTGTTTTTTATACATAATACCGTTGCATACTTAAAAGACTATTGTATATTCATTATATATATATATACTATATAGAGAAACATAACTATTATATGCACTGAAAAACTAAAAATTAATGTGACTTGCTTTATTTTGATATTTGCTTTATTGCATTAGTCTCGAAACAAATCCCCAATATCTCCAAGGTTGGCAGGTATTTGGAAACCATTTGCTTTTAATTTTTTATTTTAAAATATCAAGTACTCAGTATTTTAATAACCCCTCTAGTATCCACCTGCTTCAGTTGTTGCCATCTCCCTTTTTATCCCAGGCTATCTTACATGACAGAGAGGGGCAGAACAGTCCTGCCAAGGTAATAACTGCAAACCAGGGAATCTATTGAAGCCAGTGAGGGCAGAGAGGAAAATTGCTGCCAAGAGAGGTCACTGAAACCTATCTGTGATTGTCCCGTTCTACTGATTGCAGAGCTCGGTCTTGCTGACCATATCTAGGCTACAATAAGCGCTAAAGAAAGCTTAATCATTCCTGCAGAATTCTTTTGGTCAGACCAGTTGCTTATGGAAAGCATTAAACAAACACGACCTTTTAGCTCTTGGTATTATCGGTGCTGTTGAGGTGGCTACTCCACTGGTGCACATATCTTTCCTTCATCCTTATTATAGCTGGCTTCAGGTGCTATTAAACACTGAGTATCTAGTTTGCTGAAATGGATAGAATAGGATTTTAAGACACTACTTCATGCAATATTTATATCCCCTTTTTCTTCCTAGCTCAAAATGGGACTTTAAAATTGCCTACTGCCTTGTTTCCAACTTCACCTTGTGCATTGCTCTACCGTGTTCCCTACAATGTACAATTCCCAGCAGGGCTATAACTAGATATGAGATCATTAGGCATATATTTCTGAAAACCTGCCCTCCCTACAATGTTATGAATCTCTCTATTCCAACTCAGTTGGCTGAACTGTCCTCTTTTTTCTGAGCTCTCCCTTCCCTACTTATCCTGAGGGAAGGCAGGCATGTTCCTGAGGGTGAAATTCTGTTGATAGAATGAGAACTGTTCTCTGAACATGATGTGAATGCTTTATCACTTGCAGTCATGCTTTAGGTTTCCCCATACATGAAAGGCCTCTGCTTCCAATATTCAGTGCTTGGTGAGAATACTGGAGATGATTACCCCCTCCAACTTGCCCCACCCCTTTGTTAAATAGTCTTTTCTGCTCATAGTGTAGTTGTAGACTAGGGGTCAGCAAATGACAGCATGAGGAACCAATCCTGCCCCATCCCTATTTTTGTAAATAAAGATTTATTCGCACAATTTACAAATTGGCAATTTACAAAGGAAAGAGGTTAAATGGAGGACTCACAGTTCCATGTAGCTGGAGAAGCCTCACAATCATGGCAGAAGGCAAGGAGAAACCAGTCACATCTTATATGGATGGTAACAGGCAAAGAGAGCTTGTTCAAGGAAACTCCTCTTTTTAAAACCATCATGTTTCGTGAGCCTTATTCACTATCATGAGAACAGCACAGCAAAGACATGCCCCAATGATTCAATTACCTCCCACCGGGTCCATATCAGCCCCTTTACAGAGAAAAATTTACCATTCCTTGGTGTAGACTATTGTCATGACCCTCATTGTGCACTATTTCCATAACACAAATGACCAACACTCACTGGACAGAGAGACAATCTCCTCTAGAGAGCTTGTCTCTTCTAATTAGGTTCTCTTCCCCGGGGAACTTGTGATGACAGTAGTCAGGTGGTCCATTTGTAAGTGAGTCCATATCGAAATTAAAGAATGAAGCCAATCTGTAGAGAGAAATAGATTTTAGATCTTGCTTCCCTGAGAGAGCAAAAAGTTGAAAATAGCAGGTGTGTTGGCTTCTGCTGACTTTCCTGTTCTTGGTTCTAGTGTCTCACAAAGCCCAGATGCATATTTTGACCTTCAGTTTCAACAGATAACCCCGTATGCTTTTTATAAATTTCCCTTTTCCCTTAAGCTCATTTTGTGACTGAATCAGTGAGTTTAGGTCTTAGGTATGCTTAGGGTTTTCATTCAACATCCTTTCTTTTATGAAGTTTGCCTCATTTTCCCTTGGCTACACAATTCTTCTCTTGGACAGCAAAACTCAGGGATATAATATCTGACAGCAACATGAATTAGATTGGGGCATTGATTCCTGTAGAGAGAAGAGAGGGTGCTGGTGGGAGAATAGGGTTAGGAAATGACTGCCCTGTGATAATTTGGGACTTTCTCCATGCAGAAATGTACAGAACATTTTGCTATCTTTACTTTTGTGTTTTTGTGATGGTAGAGATGAAAAAAATTTTTTTTATTAGCTTCACAATAGCATGGTCCTGCTTGATTTTTTCCAATTTAATGTTTTTGGCCTTACTAATCCTGTGATTTTATTTTATTTTTTTAGTAGTATGTGGATTCTCCAAATGCATTCCCAAAAACGCTGTACAGGGAAGAGAAAACAATTTCTGGACTTTGGAAGGCTTTTTCAACATCTAATTCACATGATAAACAACAGAGAAAATGACACTTTGATTTAGGCTGATAAATGTGATGTCCCGTTACCAGACCTTTCCTTTTTGCATTGAGTTCATTAATAATTTACTTTAAAATTTCGACCTCATGAACTATTTTAAAAATAAGCAACACAGCAAACAACAACCAGTAAGATCATTACGAGGTGCAGTTATTAAAATACCTTTATTCAGTCTATTCTTTTTTTAAAATTGGGTGTTGTAATCTTTCATCCCTAGAGGCAGACATCTGATGAAGGCACAGCTTGAAAAGAAAGTGATAAAATTTAGAAGGCAGAGTAGTTACTGATCTCTGGTGCTTTCAAACTTTTGCAGGATTAACAGAACTTATAATTTTTCTTCTCTGTGACAATAAGGCACTGCCTCCATAAAATGCTTTAAAAACAATTAATGCTTTACTTAAAAAGTTTTAAGTATTACTTCATGGGTTGTTGAGAACCATAAAGTTAGATAGAGAAACGGTACACTGGCTAGTTAAGAAACCATCAGCTATCCCAAAGTTTATATAACATCTTCCTCAGCTAGTAGAATACTTTGTAATGCAGCATCCTGTTAACTTGAGAAACGATAAGACTCTTGTACTCACGTTATTTAAAGTTTTCAAAAATTCAAGCTGTAGGTCACCTGACTTTAATATATCTTACAAATTTTAAGATGTGTATATTTGTTCTGTTCAGTCTTTTCTTTACTCTTAGTAATTTTAGGTAATGTTCCAAAGGTATTTGTATACCTTATATTTGTCTGCAGATTATTTTAAAAATGTTTTACAAATACATAGTGTCTTCTGTGTGTTAGGCACAGTCGGACATAAGCACTTTATAAATACCAGCTCATTTAACTCTTACAACCATATGAAGTGTTATTATTTGTCTACAGTTGAGAAAACTGAGACACAGAAAGATTAGTTTGTCCAGTACTGACTTTACTGTGTCAGTAAAGTGGAGGATCCAGGATTTGGAGCTTAATCATCCAGGTTCAGAGTTAACATTTTTGACCACTCTGGTTGTGTCAAATGCTTGCATTAACTTTGTAGAGAGTTGCAGATTTTACTCCTAAGAAATTGCCTCTTACATTTGCCTTTAGGGTCAGAAACAAGCTTTTTTTTATTAATAAAACATCACATCAAGGAAAAACCACTTTTTATCAGTGAGATCTCCTTCTCAGGGGTTCAGCCGTCAACTGTTTCTAACCACACTACTCTGCCCTGGGTAGAGGAAGAGATGAAACTGGGCTGCAGGGAGCCAGTAACATGTACAAGGTCAGTGCCAATTCCAAACTCAGGGTGATGCAACTTACTCTTTTCAAAGGACAGATTGAGGTTAGGGCAAAATCATCTGTTGAGTAGTCCTCTATTCTAAACTACTTTTCTGGGTAGTTTAGAAATATCCTATAATATGACAGAGAGGGGCAGAACTACTTTTCTGGGTAGTTTAGAATGGAGGTAGATTTACTTTAATCAACCCAATTTTCTTGCATTACCACAATAGCTTGAATTCGCCATATGATATAAAGGCAAAAGTGCCCAAGGTCTTAAGAAAAAAGCTTGTTTCTGAAAATTTTCTCCAACAACAAGAATTGTTTCACTGTTTCATTAATTTAATTTTTTACCATTATAAATTTAAAAACTGTTTATTTGACTTAAGTTTTAGTTGCACATGTGGCTTATTTGCCCTTTCCTAAGAAATATGTAGATACTGGAATAATCTCACTTTTTTTTTCTTTCTTTCGTTTTTTTTTTCTCGTTCCTTCCTATGCTCCCTTCCTCCTCCTTGTTTCTTTCTTCTATTCAAGGAAACAAATCCACTAAATCTCTACTGTGGCCAGGAACTCCTTTTAACATTAGGGATAACAAGGTGATTTAGGTCACAATACTCACCGTTAAGTAGTTCCAAGACTCATGGGAGAGACAGACATCAAAACAAATAAATGTAAACCAATAAAATGAACCCCCAAATGGGGACATTCCCAGTGACTCCTGCCATGGGCGTCCCTCATGCCAGGATTCTACACTGAAAAATTAACAGATGAATAAAGAAAACAGATAGGCAAGAGTAGAGTAGAGGGAAGCCATCACCAATGCCTGGTATCAAAGGAAACCCATGAGTGGAGTTGGACAGTGTTAATCTCAAGATCCTGAGGTGTTCCGAAGAAATAATTATGAATAACTGGAGGAAAAAGGTGTTGGAGGTTTATTTTTCTTTTCTTCTGCTTGACGGAGTCTTGCCATTACAGAAGTAGAACTTGTTGCGGAACTGCTTCCTTATTTAGTTCAGCTGAAGACGGGGTCTTTATCACACCGCCATGAAAATTTAGGCTCGCAGACTATTTGAAGAGTGAGAAAAATGGGATTTCTTGGGCAAAAGGGAAAAAAAGGGGGAAACAGAGACTCTTAGCAAAGCGACAGCGTGTGCTTCTTGCCCTTGGGCTTCCCTCCTGGCCAATTGAATTCCAGGTTCCACCCAGGAAGAGGAAGGGCAAGTCCTCCCTGCTGCAAATGGTGAGAATTCTGTGGCTCCACCCCAGTGTGCGTTCCTCCCAGTGCACAGGTTGGTTGGAGGCTCTGCCAGGGAGCCCTTCCCACCTGGTTATCTCAAAATGACAAGATTGCCACGCGGAACTTGTGTCTGCACTACCGATGCTGGGGTGCCTAGGACATGAAAGGAGCACACAGTAGGTAGTGATTTATTCTGCCCATGAGAACTTGAGAAACTTTGCTAACAGGGTTGTTTGTTGCTGGAGGTTGGCCTCGTAGACTAATAAATAGCAATTCTCCAGGAAGAGAGTTGGGAAGTGGGAGTGGAAAGAGTGATAGATGTTAGAGGAAAATCCGTGCATGGTAAATTTTAAAAAGGCTGACTTGTTCTTTTGACTATAGTTGGACTATAGACTCCCTCCAGACCCTGTTGTTTTGATCTGCCTACCTCTCTCTCCTACTTCAATCATGTCCTGTGTTCTGGTGGGGCTGTCAGTTGCAGCACTCCTTCGCTCCTCCATGGGGGAACCAATGACTCAGGAATAGCCAATCAAAATTCTTTTTCCCCTGGCCACAGTGATTCTGTAGAGGTGCTTGGATGTCAGAGTCTGCCTATTTGACTTCACACTCCAGCCCTGCCATGTCTCAATTTGGTGATTTTGGGCAAGTTACTTCACCTCTCTAGGCTTCAGTTTCCCCATCTCTAAAATGGGGATGATAATTGGGTTGTTGTGAGGATCAGATCACTTACATGAAAAGTAGGTGGAATCGTGCTTGGAACATGGTGCACACTCTCCATGTGGTAGCATTTTTCTTTTTTGGAGTGGAGGAAGAGGTGTTCTGCATTTTTGGTCAAGGAGTTGGAAGAAAATGAGATAGGGTTGCTGACAGACAGTTATTCTGCCACAGGGAACAGATTTTTCTGCACCAGGAGTAAATGAGGCCAGCATCTAGTGATCAACAGTATCAGGATAGCCATTCATCCACTAATCTATTCAGTGTCTTTCTATGTATTGACATTTATTTACCTTTTGTGGGACCAACAGGTTCTTTGACTAGCTTGGGTTGGATTTATGTCACTTGCTACTGAAAAAGACCTGAATGAGTCACTGTTTATAGAAGGGCATTACAGAAAGTTGAGGTAGAATAGGATTAGTTGGGGAAGGGTTGCTGAGTCTGGAATTGATCCTTTAAGCCATGGTATAGCATTAACGTTTTCAACAGGAAATAGCACAATCAGACATGTATTAAACAAGAAAACTCTGTTTGCTCTGTTGAGAGTAATATTGAGGCTTTTTCATACCTGTAGTTCCATTTGTGCATATTTCAAAATTATGCTATGATGCTGTAATCAGACCATTGCTGTAATAAAGGGAGTTTCATCCCACATGACACTATACAGAGATTAACTGCATTGATTCATTTTCTTTAAAAGCAACAGTGATAAAATTAGGTGCATAGAGGGGTAAGACTTGACTTAAAAAGGAATTGCCTTTCACATGTAAGAGTGTTTGGCGTTCTCATGCGAAACATGGAACATTTACACAATGTTATGCTACCAGGCTGAGCTGCTTTGGAAGAATTTGTGGAGAAGAGGTATGTGTTTAGGCCCTGTTTTAATATTTCAATATACTTCTAATCTAACTTCAATTTCTCCTCTGTATTAGTCTTCCTGATAGAACCTTCTAAAATAGTACTCTGAGCATATCACTTTCCTTACTGAGAAGTTTTAGTGGCTCTCTTATCTATTGACTAAAATACAAGATCCTCAGCCTGACTTTGAGGTTACAATCTGGTTTCCACGGCAGTTGGTTAAAAAGTATTTTATGGAGTGCCCACTGTGTGCCAGGAATAGGCTAGAATATCTCTGTCTAAAAGAAATTTAATTCAAGTCACATATGTAATTTAAAATTTTTTAGAAGTCATATTGAAAAGTTAAAATAAATGGGTAAAGTTAATTTAAATAATGCATTATATTTAATCCAACATATACAAAATATATAAAAGATCAAAATGTAATCAATATGAAAATTTGTCAAGGAGCTATTTATATTCTTTTAAAATAAATATTAAGAATTCAATGTATATTTTATACTTAGCAGCACATCTCAATCAGATTGTAAATTTTCATTGAAAATTACTTATTTATTTATTTATTTTGAGATGGACTCTGGCTTTGTCTTGCCCAGGCTGCAGTGCAGTGGTGTGATCTCAGCTCACTGCAGCTTCCGCCTCCCAGGTTCAAGTGATTATCCTGCCTCAGCTTCCCAAGTAGCTGGGACTACAGGAGTGAGCCACCACACCCGGCTAATTTTGTATTTTTAGTAGAGAGGTGGTTTCACCATGTTGGCCAGGCTGGTCTCGAACTCCTGATCTCAGGTGATCCACCTGCCTCGGCCTCCCAAAGTGCTGGGGTTACAGGCATGAGCCACTGCGCCCAGCCGAAAATTACTAATTTGTATTTAGACTTCATAACATGCACAGTTGAAAAAGATCTACATATCTAAGTAGTTCAAACATACTTGAAATTTTTCAATAACTGAATCAAGTAGCAGTTTTAAAATTTAATTTTAAGTTAAATTAAAAGTTCAGTCCCTTAGTCTCCCTAGCCACATTTTAGATGTCACATGTATCTCATGGTTGCTGTATTAAACAGCATAATTCTAGGAGCACAGGCCCTGCACTCATGGAGTTAACATTAGCTCTCCTTTCCAGCTCTATCTTCTATTTTTTCCTACAATGCCGAATGGATTGTACCTGATCTCAAGACCTTTGCTCATCTGTTCGAGGTAAGCTTGTTTTGTCCTTCAAAAGACATACCTCTTATCTATTGAAATTCTATCTACCTTTACAGCTAAGCTCAAATGTCAACCCACCCAGGGAAACTGTTCTCAATCATCTAAGCAAAAAATGTTCTGCATTCTCTGAACTTTTGTAGCACTTGGATTACATCCTTCTTTTCTTTTTTCTTTTCTTTCTTTTTCTTTTTTTTTTTTTTTTTTGCTAGTCAAGTGGAGCATTGGGAGTGGGGAAGGAACAAAGAATCTGTAACTGGTTGTGGTAAATTAGTTGTAAACACCCTTGCACTTCAACCAGCTGATTACACCTTCCTTTTGACACTAATTACATACTACTTTGTGGGCCTTGGAGTCATATAAACCCAGGTTTGATATCTGGTCTTGCCACTCACTGGCTGTATGATCTTAGGCAACTTCCTTAACTTTTCAAAGCTTCATTTTCATCATCTGTCAAATGATGAGTTTTCTCATTATCTGTGCAGTTTTAAAGATGAGTTTTACTACAACTTAATGGAATTGTTGAGGTGAAATAAAGTTGAAAAAGTGCTTAGTTCAGAATTCAACCTATTAGGAGGGTGTGTGTGTGTGTATATACACACACACACACACAGACATACATACATATACTATGTATATATTTGTATATGTATGCAAGTATATATAAGTGCTGCATATATATGTATGTGTGTATACATATATATGTGCTGCATATATACACACATACATATATACTACTAATAGATTGAATAGTATTATATAGTAGTGTATACATATACCACTAATATATATGTGTTTATATATATAATACACTACAATGAATATTATATATTAGTAGATATTTACAGATATTTTCATTTTTATATATATTTAAATACAGTATTATACTAATTATAACATTAGTATTAATAGTATATACACACACAGACATATATACACTCTATCTCCCTAAGTACAATAATTTACAAATTGTAATAATAATGATACTGATAATATTAATAAGAAGTTTATGTTAGGCACTGTTTAGTAGCTTTACATATTCTATTCAATGCGCCAAACAATTATTTTGAGGTACGATGAATTATTATCCTCATTATACAGATGAGAGAACTAAAGCAAAAGTTGATAAAGTGGCTTGCCTAATGTCACACAGCGAGAAATGAATGTAGTTTGTATTTAAATCATAGAAGAGATAGAATATAGTTTGAATATATTTTATTAATATTTTATTTCATGTAGTTTTGGAAGCTGTGTAGAGGAATCAGCAAAGCATTTGGAATCAAACATATTTGATTTTGAATGCTGACTCTGTCATTGATTAAAGATGTCTACTTTGGTAGCCTATTTAATCTCTCTGAGCCTCAAGTTCTTGCTCTGTGAAATGGAATAATAAAACCAACCAGGAAGTATGTAAGGTAGGGGTTAAGTACACAGTGCTTGCCTGCTTAAATTCAAGTTTCACCTTTGAAATTCTTAGCTCTACAACATTTAGTGAATTACTTAAATTCTGTGCTGCAATTTTCTCATCTGAAAAATGGGAAAAATAATAATGTTAAATTCATAGGTTTGTTTTAAAACTTTAAATGATGTAATCCAGAATATCTGAATGATGTAATTCAGAATATCTAGAAATAATAAACACTCAAGAAGTACTAGCTATTATTACTCTTCTAAGGTTGGTTCTCACATAGGTAGAACACTAAAAACATTTAGTTAACTTTGTTTTCTTCTTTCTATCCTTCTTTTTCCTTGTATGTAATTCATACATTATAATACTAGATCTTATATACACTATGTACTCAATAACTAGTTAACTGAATGGAGTCTCAAACAGCCTTTTGTATTATTTGTATTTTACATGAGCACATTGATATTATTTTCTGAAAGTGTAAAATAATTGCATGCAAACTACAGATAGTAAACTGTTACTAGTATGTACTACTTTACATTTCTCTTGGGCTTGCAGCAATTTTAGTTATGTTTGAGGCATTTTGAAATTCAGATGCATAAAACTTCAGGTTATTCAGTCAATGTAGTACCCTGTCTAATTCTGATAATCTTAAATTAGAATATCTTTCAAAATCAACTGCAGTACAACATTGTACTGAAAATGAATTCATAAGGAAAGCAAATATTGTCATAGGCAATGATAAAAGGATTTGAATAATGTAAAATGCTACAGCAGAAACTATAGAGGTGTAGTGAATATTATACATATTGTTCTTTATTTTTAGTTCTTAAATATGACCTTCCTTCTCTTCAGAGCCCCTTTTATTGCACTTCCAATTTCATTTAGCAATTGCTATGGTTTGTTCAATCTCTGAGCAAAATTGTTCTCATATTTTAAAAAATCTGAATTTCTCTATTTCTCATCAGATCTCTATTTTGACTTAGGCCTTCTTAAATTAAAATTAGGTACATCATAGTTTGTATTTTGTTCTTGTGTATTGACAAAGTAAAAGCTTTAAAAGTTTAATAATCATTTTTTGGATCATGAGCTAGATGTATAGTCCCCTGCCACATACTGCAGATCAGGAATGGGATGGTCCCTGACATTGTGGAACTCGCAGTCTAATGAGGGTGATATCACACATGCATATAAACCTAAAACAAAGAAGAGGAGAATATGTCTTATTCTAGTAAAACCAATAAAGATCTTTGAAAATATGGAGAGAGAGAGACCAGTTCTATGTGCAGCGAGCAAGTAAGGAAGAGGGCAGCGTTCTTAGTAGAGGTGAGCCAAACCTTGCCTAGCTGGTAAGAGGCTAAGCTGGTGAGTTGCCTAAGGAGCAGGCTAAGGAAGTGTCATAAGCAAAGGCATTATAAAAGGGAAGAAAACAAACAACAAGTAGACTATCAGTAAGGCAAAGTCGGATTATAGGCTGAGAAAAAATATCAGAATCTAATTGTGGAAAATGTTGTCAGGCTGAAGTTTACAATGTACTTTGAATATGTTGAGATGCCATTGAAGGTTTCTACTTGCCTTAAGATAACAAACAGGTGCTTTTGAAACACTGAAAGTTTTTAGTTTGTTCCACTACAATTTACTAATCTGTAATCAAAATGTATTATTTAGTCCTACATGTCACCTAATTGAAGATATTCATATATATTTTAAAAACTGAAAATGCAGAATTATAGATGATTTTGAATCTGTACCACTCTGAGACCCTTTCTTTTTGCTTAATATTTAAATTAAAACTCTGTTCAGGAACATATCTTAATAATATTATTCAATATAGTAAACAAAAGATCATTTTGAAATCCGATCTTTTTATGTTTGTTATATTATAGTTTTTTTAATGAGATTGTATAAGCATTTCTGTAGTTGTCATGCTGAATGATTATATTGGTTTTCTATTGCTGTGTGAGAAATTATTATAAACTTAACAGCTAAAAACAACAGACACATTATTTCACAGATCTGTAAGTCAGAAGTCTGGGCACAGCGGACTGAGTCCTCTGCTCAGAGTTGCACAGGCAGAAATCAAGGTGTCAGCCAGACTGCATTCTCTTCCGAGTCTTAGAGTACTCTCCCAAATCCAACCAAGTTGTTGGCCAAATAGAATTTTTTTTTTAATGGTTGTAGAAACTATGACCCATTTTCTTTCTCCTGCCAGCCAGAGGTCACTCATTTCCTAGAGTTCACCTTCAATTCTAGCCACAGAGTTTCAATTCCATGGCATGATTGTTTCTTCTTAAAATGGCAGCACACTTCATCCTACTCTGCAGAGAAGACCATTGCAATTTATGAACTTCCAGGTCTTTATCTGTACAAACACATGTATTTTTTCAGTATATATAGGTTTATATACCCAGATATATATATGTATATCTTTACCAAAATATGACCATTCTGTCTATCACGGACATTTTGTATGCCAATTAAAACAGATTACATTATTTTTAATGACTATGTGGGGTTGCATTATCATTTAACCCTTTTGTTTTTGTTGGATATTACTCCTTTCTTCAAATTTTCAATATTAGAAATAAAGCTGTCATCTACATACATATTGTACATATAGCCTTGCACATGCCTGTAGGATAGGTTTTAAAGTCATTAAATATATAATTTGTCACTGCTGATAGGCAGTACTATAGATTATTGTAATTATTATTTTTAAGATGTAATGACATATTATATCTTAAATGTATAATGATATATTACATCCTATATTAGTGTTGAGACAGATTGCAACATAACCTATAATACTTTTATAAAGTTGTTAGTAGTGTTAGTGAAATCAACAGTTTGGAATAGTGACTAAAAGGATGCAGAGTAGAATGTTAGCCCCGCAAATTTACCATATGTTTTATTTGCGGGGGAAATAAAATTGTACATTGGTATAACAGGTGTTTGAATCTCAAAGGCAGATAGAAGCACAATATCCTACAATCAGGGACCTTTGGTTTTCTTTTTCTTTTTTCATCAACTTTTATTTTAAGTTCTGGGGTACACATGCAGGATGTGCAGGTTTGTTACACAGGTAAACGTGTGCCATGGTGGTTTGCTGCACAGATCAAGCCATCACCTAGATATTAAGCCCAGCATCCATTAGCTATTCTTCCTGATGTTCTCCCTCCCTCCAACCCCCCAACAGCCCCCAGTGTGTGTTGTTTCCCCGAATGTGTCCATGTGCTCTCATCATTAAGCTCCCACTTGTAAGTGAGAACATGCGGTGAAATGGAAATCTCTTATCTGAGAAGCTGAATCTTGGCTTTCTCCCCTGTAAAAATCGGTTTAGTTGTCAGGTTTAAATGAGATAATTTCATGGACCTGGTGCATGGTATGTGCTTCACAAAATGTTAACTTTTTCTTCCTTCTTCCTAGGAATTTTAAAAAGCAGGCAGTCTGACTCTTCCATATATCTCTGGGGGCCAGGTTCCCAGATTCCTTCATTACAGGCCATGTTCACTTGTATGAGAGCAATTCTTCAGTGAATTTGTACTGCCTACTATTGCTGAATTACTTTTTAGCAGAGTCCCATTCTAAAACACAGAGTGGTGCTGAAAAACTGCAATACAAGTAAAAGATTATTATTATGTCTTCATTGAAAAAAGTGTTATTGCTATAAATAAGATCAGGCTTAACTCCACCCAATATCACTATAGCAAATAAGTATAGGAACACCAGAGGTGTGGAGTCCTTTGGCATTAATATACGATGTAGGAGTGTAGGTAGGACCATTCATACTTTTCTATTTAAATGCAAGTATACTTTTAAGTTCTGTCTTCCAAAAATACATTGAATGAATAATGTCTTTATTACATGTTCACCACAGAGAAGAAAATTACCTCTAATTTGATTGAATTAAAAACTATCTTGGTATGTCTTAATAAAATGAAATGCAGAATTATTTTAAAAGATTAAAAAACATTTGAGTAATTTAGTATACTTTGAGTTCTGTTTGTTAAAGTTCTGCAAAAAGCTTATACTCAGGTGCTCTGCATCTCTAGAATTTTAATTTGACTTTGATTAGAATATAGTTTTATTTAAATTGATTCTTGTCTTTTAACACTTGTTAGAAATGTCAAATATTGCCCTTATTTTGAAAAATGACTGATTTCAATTGGATAATTGTCAGATACAATGGACTTTTGGTTAATGACATGTATTCAGATGATTGATTGTTCATGAAATGTTGATATTTGCTTCACTTGTTTACCTCTTCAATCATCAGCCAGGCATTTTCCCTTTTCTTCTGGGAACTGGCAGTATGACATGAACATTTAGTAAGTTGAAAGGTCTCTGTCTACTTCTTATGCTTTTTCATTTATCCTTAGATTGTTGGAGTCTAAATCTGTCTTCTTGCTTTCATCCTACATAAGACTCTTGATAATGATCCTAGTGCAGTCTCTTCACTTTATCTGTTGTAGGCGCTAAGGTGTTCTATAGGGAGAAAGTATTATATAGAGGAAAGAACGTGTTTGATTTGAAGACAATTAATAGATTCAAAATCTGAGCTCCATTGGTTCATGACTGTATTATCTTGGGCAAATTATTTACCCTTTTAAGCTATCTGTTTACTCAACTATACAATGGGCACATAATACCTACTGTGTAAGTTTTGATTAGTATGAAGGTCATCTATTATCCATCCATCTATCTATCAATTAATCTATCATCTGTCTCTCCATGGAGAGAGGCATGGGACCTGATGGCTAGTATGTACTTTATACAAACTAACCAAAGGTACCAAAGGCTTTGGCTAGTCTCAGTGATTTTTTTTTTAAATATCTAGTAAGAGTGTGTCTTAAAGGAAGATCTATCACTAAATGTGCTTGAGAATGAAAGGTAAAATTTAGATACCCAGAAGTAGCTAAAGTCATTAATATTCCATTTTTTTCTAAGAGTAACCTCCATGTTTAGCCTAGGTATGCTGTCTTCCCAGACATTTTCCAGAAAGCTCCCTTCTCCACCCTTTCTATCCCACAGACAACCATCTTGAAAACTTAAGGCTGTTCTTGACTCCCATCCTCTAAGCTCCATCCTAAATTAAATTTTAAGAAGCTACTAACAGGGTGTTCTTTGGTATTCTCTAGTCCTACCAAAAATAACATATATAGGGGCCTATTTCTATTTAATGTAATTATTAACATGATAATATTTATGTCTGCTATTTGCTACTTATTTTTTTCATCTCATTTTTTTCTGGTTTATCTGTTCTTCCTTTATTACCTTCTTTTGTGATAAACAATCATTTTAGTATACTATTTCAGTTATTCTTTTGGCTTTATTGCCATGTACATTCACATGATTTCTTATTGGCTTCCACAGGGATTACAATATGTATCTTATCTTACTGCGGTCTTCTAAGAGTTAACATTGGAAATTTCAGTTCTGGGTAAGATGAGGTAAACACATCAACCTTCCTCTTCCACTGGAAGCAATTATAAACATGAGAGAATCCATGGGCAGCTATTTAAAAACTCTGCAAAGTAAATATTAGCATGTAAATTGGAAGAGAACACCAGATTTTGAAGTACCACTGAACTGGCAGGGCATTTACCATTTTTTTCCCCTTCAGGATGCCCTAGCATAAATTTAATAGCAATGTGAAACCCTGACATGAACACTGTGGGACAGATAGAGATCTGGGAGAAATCCTGTAGTTCTGGCTTAAGGAGAAGAAAATAGAAATTCTAAAGTTCAGAGATAATGGCAAAGATACCCTATTTTTTTCTTTCCTTTTATTCTATTCTCTACATCCCCAGGACAAAGCTGTCGTACATTGAGGGTGGTGGCATACTGTGGAAGAGGAGCCTTCCTTTCTTTTTGGTGGAACCATGTCTCCATGAGGGTGATGCCAAAGCCTGTTGATTTTTACTTTTCCTTTGTCTGCATCCTTTCTCCTCATGTAGTACGGTTACAGAAGTTGGCAGTTTCTGGCCAAAGGAATAAAAGGGGGAGCCCCAGGGAACCAGAAAAGGGAAAGTGTGAAAAAGTGAAGTACTAGGCTCATCCTTGACCTGCACTTAGAGTCTTATCCTTATTATCATGCCAATAGCTTTGGCAACTGAAATAAGGTATAGCTACATGGATAGTTAACATGCAGGACAAATTCTAATAGCACTGCAAATAGGGCTGTCATATTTAGCAAAAAAAAAATATAGGATGCCAGTTTAATTTGAATTTCAGATAAATAGTGAATATACATATTTCTGGTATATGTATGTCTCACGCAATATCTGGTGCTGGGTATTTTATCTGGCACCCTTAACTACAATGGCAGTGGTAATATAACTGACTTTGGAACTATAGGCCACAGAAAATGTATTGTAACCTGTGAGCTCAAACCAACCAGGTAAAGTGTCTGCTAAATAAAAAATATTAACATTCTCCATATGGTTTAAACAAGATATAGATTGTCATAAGATATTGTTCAAAGTATCCAGGATACAATAAAAAATTACTTTGGTTACACAAAATCACAAAGATCACAATTCACCTGGGGAAAGATGATTAACAAATGCCAATGACAAGATAGAAATTACCTGACAAATATTTTAAAGCAGCTATTATATATGCTTGAAAGAGTAATTGCAAACACTCTTGGAAAAAAAATGTTAAAATAGAATGGATTGACAAGGGAATATGTCATGTAAAGAAAAAGCAGACAGAAATTTTGAACTGAAAAATATAAAAACAGGAAAGAAACTTGGAACACCAGGAATGAAGGAGAAGCCACGGAATTGCTAAATAGAGCAGGCGTCTTCTCTTGAGTTCTTTTAAATATATTTGACAGTTGAAAACAAAGTGAATAACATTGTCTGATGGTGTTTCCAATGCATAGGGATGTAATATAATTATGATAACTATGATGAAGAAGGAAGAATAATGGAATCTGTATAAACGTAAGGTTTCTAAATTGCGATAGAAGTGGCAAAATACGATTCTAAATAGACTGCCAATAGTTAAGTATATATTTTGTAATTACTAGAACAATGATTAAAATATTTATACTGAGGGATATTATCAAAACATGATAGAAAAATTAAAAAAGAATACTAAAAGTTACCAATGAATTACTGTCAGTAAAATATAGAAAAATTAAACAGTATAGTTTCACTTACCTCACATCTTTTGTGCTATCGTTGTGATATATATCCCATTAATACAGTTTTGGGTGTGTGTGTGTTTTTTTTTAGACAAGGTCTTGCTCTGTCACCAAGCTGGACTGCCACCTTCGTCTCCTGGGTTCAAGTGATTCCCCTGCCTCAGCCTCCCAAGTATCTGGAATTACAGGTACCCACCACCACACCCAGCTAATTTTTTTATTTTTAGTAGAGATGGGGTTTCACCATTTTGGGAAGGCTGGTCTCAAACTCCTGACCTCAAGTGGTTTGCCTCCTTTGGCCTCCCAAAGAGCTGGGATTACAGGCATGAGCCACTGCACCCAGCCGTTTGATATAGCTTTAATATCAATAATACAGGGTTATAATTTTTGCTATTATATGACTTTTAAAGAAATTAAGAAAAAAATATATATATTTACACATGTAGTCTTTTGTATTTACCCATGGAAGAGGGTAAGTCCATATGGTTTGTACAAAACAAAGTCAGGAAAGTATGATCATGTACGTCGGTGAAGCTTCAATTAGTTTGGTATGGATAGGACAATGGTGGTGAGTCAATAGTGATGTGAAGTAAGATAAGAGAAGTGAACAAGAGCCAGATTATGAAGGATTTTGTGGAATTTTCTTGTTTCTTTACTCTGGTAAGCTTATGGATTGATCATCTGAAAGTTCTGTGAAGCCTAATAACTGTCAGTTCTGCTGTTTTGTATCCCTAGAAGCTAGCATAGTGTCTGGTATATAATAGGTGCACAACAAATATTGACTGAATGAGTAAATGACATGAGTGTTCTGAATGGAGGATACTGTTCCCATTCTGACTTTATATCCATCTCCTTACTATGGATACATACCAATCTTTTCATTTTCTCACACTCCGTTCTTCCCCATGTCTTTGGTCAAGGACGCCATACCTCTGGAGGTCTATAGTCTCACGCTCCTACTCTAGTGAGGAGGGGTCTCCCTATGGGACAAGGCATGTTCTTGGGAACAACGTATGTAGTTACCATTTTTAGATATCCTATCGGTACTTGACAACTTTTGAAGGGGAGCAGTGTTGGTAATGGTTGATACTCTTGTTTTCCTATAAAGTGGCTAAGCTCAAATATTCCCCCTTCCCCAACTGCACACACACACAAACACACACACACTTTATTATGACCAATTTTTAAGAAACTTTAGAGCAGCTGATGTGAGAAAAGAGAAAGAAAGTAAGGAAAAGAGAATCAGAGAAAAGAAGAGACAGAATAATTTTAAGCAAAGTTAGAAAATAAAGTTTTCCAGATTTTTCTACTAGCATGGTAGATTGTGTTGACTATCCATATGGGAAACTCCTTAAAATCTTGTGCCTGTGCTTTCTCAGGTTGCAGTATTTGTCAGGAATGCTAACTGTGTGATGCAAAAGATCTTGCATTCTGCCAGGGTCTATTTAATTAATTATCATTGACCAGCATTAAAAGTATTAATTTAGATTTGAAAAGTCTCAAGTTAGTTTGGGATGTAGTTTTTTTTCCAACCTTGAGAATATCCTATTTGAATAGTTTCTGAATTTTAAAATTTATTTTTCTTATTTTTCCTGAGCTCATTTTATTTTCTAAGGTGAGATCTACATTTTCTTCCTGTCTTTAGTATCCAGAAACCTAAATAAGTCCTGTAAAATAAAACACCCATGTTTGGAGAATGTTATAAAGTGTGGTTATATAGTAATGTGGTCCTAGGGCCATTTTGAAACAAGTATCCCAGTTGGCAATGCACAGCTCATGTTACTATTTTACTTCTGCCACCTTTCTTTTCATTGTAGAGTTAAAAAATACTTCAGGAAATTTTACTTTAAAAAAAAAAAACCTTTTTATCGCAATTTTAATATTTTATAGCTACATTTTAACTTTTATTTCATAAAGATTAACAGTCATGCCTAAACTGAAATATATTTTATTCACTTACAGAAATGCATTGCCTAACACTAATTAAATTTGCTTAATCAAGCTTAACAATGCTACATGCTGTTACTCATCAGAAAGTAAGTGCTACACACATTTCCCAAAGTGCTCAAGCTAGAACACCAACGATTTTTTTCTGCTAGGGTATCCAAGGGTTCAGCCATCTGTTATTTACTCTAATTTTTAATAAAAAGTTATTATTCATCTTTATTGCTAATCATTTGCCTTACAAACAAAACACATTTTATGATTATTGTTATCATTTTAACTCTACTACATCCAAGGAGACACACCAAAAATGATTTGCATTCAATTGCACCACATTAATGTTTGCAAATGGGTTAGCTTCAGTGGCAGGAAGAGACAGGTATTATGCAAGTAATACCTAATATCAAATTATACACAGTAGCACTTAATCACACTGCCCTAATGCTTTCAGCACAATGAGCTTTTTCCTACTGAACTAGGAAAATGTGATCAACTTTAACATCCTGAAGGACAAGACAGTGGCTATGTCATTCTTTATCGTGTTTTGCTTTTGTTCATAGCTAATCACATTTTGACTATTTTAATCCAGACCCTGCAGTTATATAATAAATCATACCTGATAGAGGAAGACTAAAGCCTGTTGATGGAATTGCCTTCAAGCTGCAATGGGCACAGAAAAAAACATGGATAGAGATAGGGTGGGCTCAACATCAGAATGAAAAGAGGTGAATGAAGTTCTGCATAAAGAGAAGCTGTATGTTAAAAATATTTAGTGGAGGCTGGGCATGGTGGCTCACACCTGTAATTCCAACACTTTGGGAGGCTGAGGTAGGCAGATCATTTGAGGTCAGGAGTTCAAAACCAGCCTGGCCAACATGGCGAAACCCACATCTCTACTAAAACTACAAAAACATTAGCTGGGCATGGTGGCACACACCTGTAATCCCAGCTACTGAAGGAGGCTGAGGCAAGAGAATCACTTGAACCTGGGAGATGGAGGCTGCAGTGAGCCGAGATTGCTCCACTGCACTCCAGCCTGCGTAACAGAGTGAGACTCTAAGCCAAAAAAAAAAAAAAAAAAAAAATTACTTAGTGGAAAATTGCAGTCCTGTGCAGTGTCTTCAATTAATCTCAAGAATCCTTATGTGAAACAACTGTCTCCAGGGTGGCATTTAAAGATGGTATCCAGGAAGGTTCATGATGCCAGAAAAGAGGGATATGATAGCAAATACTCAAGTATTAAATAGTTAGGAATAATAATAATAATAATGCTTAACCCATACTGAGTGTTAACCATACACCAGATACTGAGTAGGGTGCCTGATATGTAACGTCTTAATCACACTGACTCTCTTAGGTAGCTACATTCATACAAATTTTTCAGCTAAGGGCACAAGCTAAGAGGAGTTAAATAACTTGTCTAAGGTCTTATGGAATTTAGATTTATAGCCTTGCAGTGAAGTTGGGTTCTTATTCCTTTGAATATCCTTTGATATTCATGGGATCTAACAAGGAATGTGAGCCATCAGTTGACATTTTCTATGCTTATTAGAGAGAAGCAGCACATTCCATAAAAGATAATTAATGACTGCACTTCTCTACAGTGCAAAATTGAAACTAACTTTAATAATAAAACTGCTTTAGCACAAGTAATATACAGAGATTATGGCAAAGATGGAATAACACATAATTCTGAAAATGAACCAATGTTATACTAACTTTAATCTGTCTTGCCAAGGCTATGAGGCCAGTGACTTCTCTGTTTAAGGGGCAGCATTCATTCTGAAGGGAATGGATGTTCTGAATGTTTAGGGAAATGCATTAATTTTGAACAGTAGAAGTCTACTCAAGGTTGATATCTTTTACCTTTTGCTAGTGCTGAAGTTAGAACATCTTCCATTTCTTAGACAGTTCAGTTTGGATTCCTGATTCTAGGAAGGTGGCTTTTAGTTAATTTATTTTTATTCTGTTATTCTGGCTTAGGCTTTTCTCTTTTTCTTCCTTCTTTTGACTTTCTGGGAAACATAGAACTGCACGGAGGAGGCAAACTTGGCTTATTATCTACATCTGCTGAGGCATGACATATAAAGCTTGCTCAAGAAGCACATTATGTGGCATGGACAGCATGAGACAAGCCAGCTTGAGACACAGTAGAGCAGTTCAGACACTCTGAAGGAAAAGAATATAGGGTGAACCAGAGTAGTTCCCTAGTATTTTAGTGAGTAGGAGTCCTCTGAATATTTCTTATAGTAAATTACATATGTAGAGAATTAGGAAAGCATGTCAGAATGTGAGTTTACTCATGCTCAACATAGACTTTAGTTATCTCACCAGACACTTGGATTAAAGGTGCTTTATAATCTTATTCCATATGGAAGTGGAAACCTGGAACATTTCTCTAGCAGGCGGAGTCAAGTTTTAATACCTGGGATGGTGAAGGCCATATAAGTTGCTATCATTTATTAATGCAATTTTAATGAACCTTATTTCTGTGGGAATATACTGCAAACAGTGGCTGAGCACAGCAAGTGCAGGGGTAAGGAAGGTAGAAAGAGAAAAAACTTGCCTCCTGAGCTCTTTCTTTAATGTGCTGACATTGTATGAGAGATACCAAAATGCACATGACTGTTCCATGACCCAGAGAAGCCGGTAATTAGCTGGGGAAAAAGGAAGCACATAGATTGGAAAATGAAACAAGTACGGCATACAGATGACAATTGTCCCCAGACCTTCTTCCTCAGGGAAACTTTCAAGTCTCGCTTCACTTTTTGCAAAATCACTATCCTGGTGTTTTAGTTGTTATTAGCAGTATTTAGAACATCTCCCATTTCTTAAACAGTTCAATTTGGATTCCTGATTTCAGAAAGGATGCTTTTAGTTAATTTATTTCTTTTTCTGTTACCCTGACCTAGGGTTTTCTTTTCTTTTTTTTTTTTTTTTTTGACTTTCTGGGAAACATAGAACTGCACTGAGTGGGTTCTTCTTGGCACCGCAGTATGTTTAGGACCATTAATTGTCATTATTCCCCTTGTTCTGCATTTAAACCACAACAAATTAATCTCCTTAGGAAAAAGTGAGTGTTCTGAGTCTGGATCTCCCTTTCAAGTCGTTGAGCATTGAGAGGTTTGTGGCATTGGAGGGAACTCCCAACAGCCTGCCTTCTTTCAGTACACCTGCTGGAAACTTCCTCTCCTGTCTAGTAAAAGTCTTAGAAGAGAGTTTGGAAAAACCCTTTCTTCCTTGTGAATCAACATAGCATGATGGTTAAGAGCTTGGGCTCAGGAGTCAGACTGCCTGAATTTGAATTCTGCCTCCCTCATTTCTTACCTGTATGCTGGGAAATAACCTTTCTGTGCTTCAATGTCTTGGACCACCAAATAAGTTCATTAATTTCTGCTCCTACGATTTCTGCAAGCATTAAGCGAGATAACGTACACAAACAAACTAGTACAAATCATGTAGCCATTCCATAAAAATTATCTGTTGGCCAGGCGCGGTGGCTCACGCCTGTAATCCTAACACTCTGGGAGGCCGAGGCAGGTGGATCACCTGAGGTCAGGAGTTCAAGACTAGCCTGGCCAACATGATGAAACCCTGTCTCTACTAAAAATACAAAAAAATTAGCCTGGCATGGTGGCGTGCACCTGTAATCCCAACTACCCAGGAGGCTGAGACAGGAGAATCGCTTGAACCCGGGAGGCGGAGGTTGCAGTGAGCAGCTATCACACCACTGAACTCCAGCCTGGGCAACAAGAGCAAAACTCCATCTCAAAAAAAAAAAATTATCTGTTACAGTTATTATTACTATTGGGGTGTATATTGCCACATTCACATAAGGGCTGATAAGTCAAAATGTACGTAGAACTTCAATTGCAATCTGAGGATTTTATGGAATTCTTCTTGGCATCTATATAGTATCCTGTGGTGCTAATCCCAGCAACATTTTTCTTTTCCAACACACTCAATATTAATTGATGCTGCTATGTAGGTAGAACATATTAATTTTCTCCTGTGTTTACTTGCATGGTTCGTTGGACATTAATAGTAAGGAGAACGCTTCTTGACTTTTTGTGCATGACAAATACAGACTAAGCTCTGTTAGATGGGAAAAACAAAAACAAAAACAACCTTCAATGGTATTCCTTTAAAGGGATAGCTGCTAGAACTAAAAAGACTTGTTCTTATTAACATGCATTTGTAAAGCCATGTAAAAATGCAAACATTTCTTCCAAAACCTCAACCTTCAATTCTTTAAAAAATGATACTTGTGCTCAGAGAAGCAGCATTTCCGGAAGCCAATATTTATAGAAGTGATAAGTCAGCTAGCCCAGCTGTCATTAACACTTATCATATCATCTAAGTACTAACTTTCGTTATACCACCAGGAAATGAGAATTATAATTACATAAATATAATTAACTACATATTTTAAAGTGGGTGTATGCCTATATGTATTTGAGCCCTTTGGAGTTGTTTAGAATAAATTGTAGTTTAAAATTCAGGCTCCTGAGTGCCCATGAAACTACGGTTGATGTGAGGGGAAAACTAAATAACACAGGATGAGTAATAGCACCAATAAGCATTTTACCAGAGTCCACTTTATATCAGATGGTGGCTTTTGTGAATGTTTAGCTTTCAGGTTGTGGCAAACAGGGAGCTGTGACCAAAGTGAGTGCTACTCATCTTTGCCTCAAGAGCACACTCTGGTAACTCCACTCCAGCTTTTACCTGTCTCTAGGAGGTCTTCAATTCCAGGCCCACATCATTTGCCTCTCCATGGGCCCATGACTAACACTGTCTTTACCACATTCCAAGAATGTTGGGGGCCTTTTACATGTTCTACTGGCATTTGCTTTTTCTACAATCCTGGGCTCCACTGAGTCAGAAATTTGTAACATCTTTACTGAGAGTTATAGCCACTATGGAACCTAAGGCCTGGGACAATTTTCTTGGTTTTCTACTCAACCATCTTCATTCAAATTGGTTCTGAGTTGCATATACATTTTGGCAGCTGCTATGTCCTGAGAAAAAAATAGGAATATGAAACTGAAGCACCATAGAATAATTAATTAAATGAAATTATGCACATAAAAAAACATTGCATAGAGCCAGGTATATGGAAAACACTTTTAGTAAATTTCTGCAACAAGTGCATAGTAAGGTTTGGAATATTACACATGGCTGTTTTCTGCTGAAATGGCATATTATGTTTGAGAAATGGTAACTACATGTGAAAGCTACTGAGTTTGGTTTGTCCCAACAGAAGAACTATTGCTTAATTCCTTTTAGAGAATTTAAAATCACACCATGTAGTCTGCTCTGTGCTTCACCTTCCTGTAAAGTTTGTTCTTATTTGTCCTTGTGGACTTTAATATGTTTGCTTTTGTCTCATTGATGCCTAACCAAAACATACTGAAATTTGCTTGCCTATTTTTATTCTAAAGCATGCTTCTCAAACTTGAATGTACATATGAATCACCTTGAGGTCTTGTTAAACTGCAAATTCTGATGCCATTGACCATTGGGGATGGAGACTGAGTTTTTTCTTCTCTAACAAGCCTCCGTTCCCTACACCTCCAGGATGCTGCTGATGTATGGATTGCACTTTGAGAAGCAAGGCTCCAGAAGATCCTAATCCAGTGTAGTATATGGAAATTGGGATAAATGAGATGTAAAATACCCCTGCTATGTTGAGAAATTAAAACTTAGGCAAATGTCATTGGGCATCTAATTCTAACCAAGTTGTAGGAGTAGTGAGATTCAAAGATACTTAAATAACTTCATATAAAAAGTGAATATTCTTTCTTGTATTTATTTAGAGTCATGTTTTCAATATGTTTAAAAGAAGAGTATAGTTTCTGGTATATTCTAAGTTCAGATGATACCAGATGTAATTGCTTTAGCATTATTTAGCACTTAGCATCATTTTAGAATGTAGATGATGGCTGGGATTAGTGTTACTGTTCATATTGACTTTGGGGGAAGAAGCAGAATTAGCCCATTGGCAGTGCGCCACCTCTACTATCATGGGACTAGGGTCACATATGAACTCCAGAGTTTCTAACTTATTAACTAAAATGGAGACAGATAAACTACCTTTTACAGGTAGTTCTGAGCAGAAGAATAACTAGATTACACATGTGACTTGAAAACACTTAATAATTATTTCCAGCAGGTTCACTATGGTGTAATGTGCTTTGACAAGCATTTCCTTCACTGACTCAAAACAAAGAAGGTTTCACAGAATGCTTAATCCTGTGCTTCTTGTCCTTTTCTATTTATTCCATCAAAAACATCTGTTTAGACCAGGCGTGGTGGCTCACACCTGTAATCCCGGCCCTTTGGGGGGCCAAGGTGGGTGGATCACTTGAGGTCAGGAGTTCTAGACTACCTTGGCCAGTACGGTGAAGCCCTGTCTCTACTAAACATACAAAAAGTAACTGGACGTAGTGGCGTGTGCCTGTAATCCCAGCTACTCAGGAGGCTGAGGCAGGAGAATCACTTGAATCATGTGAACCGGGAGGTGGAGGTTTCAGTGATCCACTGCACTCCAGCCAGGGCAACAGAGCAAGACCGTGTCTCAAAAAAAAAAAATTGTTTGTAGTATTTGTATCTAGAATATTAAGGTTAGGATTAACAATGCATTTTCACTAAATATAAATGCAATTCAAATATGAGGATTGTTAGTGTTTTCTTCACAGGAAGAATAAGATACTTAAAAAAGGTTAGACATTTCTCTTAGCACATTTGTTTTAGTCCTTCTTGAAAATGAAAAATGTCAGATCCTCCAAATGTTTGAAATTACATATTTATGAATGAGTGAATTGAGGAGCTGAAGTAAAAGGTGTTACTTTACTTACCTGAAGTGCTTTTGCCTCTTCTGCTTTGACAATTTTTCTCCTCTTTTGCCCCCAGGTGCGCAAACAGGCTGTTCTAAATTGCAGTTATTTGGAGATTTGAAAGTACAGGAAGGGAAATTCCATGACAACCACTTGGTCAGTGTAGGGGCTGATATTGTGAGTCTGCTGACCATAGCAGGTTTCCTTATGTGATTCTGATGCTAATGCATGTCCTATACATATAGAAAGGGACAGGAGTGTGTGAGGAAATCTGCTAGTGGTGCAGAAAAATGGAGAGAGATTAAGAGGGCAACCATATCATCCTTCTCCTTATCTCAAGGTGAGGCAGGGATGCCTCTGTCAGACAGAGGAGATCACAGAAGAGAATACATTTGTTTTTTGATCTCAGAGAACAAAACCAATCTTTCTGTTTTTCTGTAGCTTCTGGCATGATAAGGAGAAAAATCTATCTGTGTGATGGGGGCAGGGATTGGGCCTTGAATAGCTAATGTTCTTTTATTTCTTGTCTTCCAATAGGAAACAATAATTTTTTCTTGGTTTCTTATTTTCCTGGTTTGATTAAATTATATATAAGATAATATATGTGAAAAGTAGGCATTAGTGTACACTTGATATATGTTTATTGATGTAGGGTGCATTCCTTCTTAATGAAAGATTAAATTTTATATAATGTTTTAAAAACTGTGTCTTTACAATTGAGGAATGAAATAAAAGATAATGATAAGTAGAAAGCAGTCTCTCTACTTTTCTCTAAATAAAAACTTCAGGGAAAATTCTATAATATAATAATGCAAGAGGTCACCATTTCTATTTACTTGGTGATGTCTGTCCAGATTCTGTGCTGATAATGATTTTTGGCTGAATCTATTTTTAGGCATTGAAAGGGTTCTGGAGTTCGAGATGAAAGACTGTCATCCAGCAGGCTAGGAGAGCAGACAAATTGGGGTAATTTGGAAAAAGAAGAAAAAAATTGTTATATTTTCATTCACAAAATGAAAGCTGGGGACTTTCCACATAAGGATAATGAAAAACCTGAATTGAAAAGGCCAAATAGTTTTCTTTATTCATTATTTCATTTATTGTTTTCTTTGTTAGTTCATTCATTAACTTCTTCCAAAAATTATTTATTAAAAGTTTGTTTATGTTAAATGTTGTGTTAGAGATACAGAGAAAAATAAGACACGGGTATTACTTACTAAAGCAGTTCACAGCGGTAGAGGAGGTAGACATATTAAGAAATAATAATACAACTTGCACTTTAGGTACCAGCTTGGCCACAGCAGGGTAGAGCACCAAACAGGCTCTTGGGGTGACTGATTCTAGGCCTTGAGTGAACATAATCAGTAGCCAGGTAGTGGTTTCAGTGGGTCTTGAGTAAGACCCAGTGCTGTGCTGACTTCAGTTCTAACCCAGCACAGTCCCATTGGTGGTAGCCACAGGAGTGCTTGTGTCACCCCACTTCCAGCTCCAGAGAGCTTATCACAGAGAGAGACTCCATTGTTTTGGGAGAAAGTAAGGGAAGGGAACAAGAATCTCTGCTTGGTAATCCAGAAAATTCTTCCAGGTCTTATCCAAGACCACCAAGGCGGCACCTCCATGAGTCTGCAAGAACCACAGCATTCCTTGGTGTGAGGTTCCCACAAATGCAGATATGGGTTACATCACAACACCAAAGTCCTTTTAAATACCTGGAAAGACTTTACAAGGATGACAGGCACAAATAAGCCCAGACTGCAAAGACTACAATAAATACATAAGCCTTCAATGTCCAGAAACCAGTGAACATCCATAAGCATCAAGACCATCTAGGAAGTCATAACTTCATGAAATGAACTAAATACTGGAGAAACAGATATGTGACCATTCAGATAGAGAATTTAAAATTGCTATTTTAAGGAAACCCAAAGAAATTCAAGATAACATAGAAAAGGAATTCATATTCTTATCAAAGAAATTTAACAAAAGCTTGAAATAATTAAAAAGAACCAACCAGAAATTCTGGAGTTGCAAATGCAGTTGACATATTGAAGAATGCATCAGAGTCTTTTCTAATAGCATAGTTGATCAAGCAGAAGGAAGAATTAGTGAGCTGGAAGACAGGCTATTTGAAAATATACAGTCAGAGGAGACAAAGGAAAAAATAATAAAGAATGAGGCAAAACTACAAGATCTAGACAGTAGCCTCAAAAGTGCAAATTTAAGAGTTTTTGGCCTTAAAAAGAAAGTAGAGAAAGAGATAGGTGTATAAAGTTTATTCAAACAGATAACAGAGAACTTCCCAAACCTAGAGAAAGATTAATATCCAAGTACAAAAAGGTTGTAGAACACCAAGCAGATTTAACCCAAGAAGACTACCTCAAGGCATTTAATAAACAAACTCCCAAAGATCAAGGATAAAGAAGGGATCCTAAAAGCAGAAAGAGAAAAGAAACAAATAATATACAAAGGAGCTCCGATACATCTGGCAGCACACTCCTCAGCAGAAGCTTTCCAGGTAAGGAGAGAGTGGCAGAACATATTTAAAGTGCTGAAGGAAAAAAAAAAAAAAAAACTTTTACCCTAGAATAGTATATCTAGCAAAAAATATTTTTCAAACATGAAGGAAAAATACTTTCCCAGAGAAACAAAAACAGAGTTTTCATCAACAGGAGACCTGTCCTAAAGAAATGCTAAAGGGAATATTTTAATCAGAAAGAAAAGAACATTAATGAGCAGTAAGAAATCATCTGAACATGCAAAACTCACTGGTAATAGTAAGCACACAGAAAAACAAAGTATACTATTACACTGTAATTGTGATGTGTAAACTACTGTTAGGTAGAAAGATTAAAAGACAAATCAATAACATAATAACTACAACAATTTTTAAAGACATAGACAGTACAATAAGATATAAATAGAAACAACAAAATCTTAAAAAGCAGGGGGATGAAGTTAAGGTGTAGAGTTTTTGTAAGTTTTAATTTTTGCTTGCTTGCTTGTTTATGCAAAGTGTTAAGTTGTTATCAGCTTAAAATAATGGATTCTAAGGTAGTATTTGCAAGCCATGTATATGGTAACCTCAAATTTAAAAAAAACACACAATGGATACAGAAAAATAAAAATAAACAACAAGAAATTAAATTATACCACCAGAGAAAATCACCCTAACTAAAAGGAAGATAGGAAGGAAGGAAAGAAGAAAGAGAAGCCTACACTATAGAACAAATGGACCTAATGGATATTTACAGAACATTAAATTCAATGGGATATAGCAAAAGCTGTACTAAGAGGAAAGTTTACAGCTATAAGTGCCTACATCAAAAAAGAAAAAAAAAACTTTAAATAACCTAAAAATACATCTTAAAGAACTAGAAAAGCAAGAGCAAACCAAATCCAAAATCAGTAGAAGAAAAGAAGTAATATTGATCACAGCAGAAATAAATGAATTTGAAATGAAAAAATCAATACAAAAGATCAACAAAACAAAAAGTCAGTTTTTTAAGAAAATAAACAAAATTGACAAACCTTAGCCAGACTAAGAAAAATAGCAAGAAGGACCAAATTAATGAAATCGAAGATGAAAAAGGAGGTAGTACAACTTATACCACAGAAAATCAAGGGATCTTTAGTGGCAACTATGAGAAACTATATGCCAACACATTGGACAATCTAGAAAAAATGGATAAATTCTTAGACACATACAACTTCCCAAGACTGAACCATCAAGAACTACAAAAACTTAAAAGACCAAAAACAAGTAACAAGTTCAAAGCTATATTAAAAAGTCTCCCAGCAAAGAAAAGCCTGAGACCTGATGGTTTCACTGCTGAATTCTAGAAAACATTTAAAGAGCCAATACCAACACTACTCAAACTCTTTCAAAGAATAGAGGAGGGAATACTTCCACACTCATTCCATGAGGCCAGTATTAGCCAGATACTAAACCAGACAAAGACATGAAAGAAAGAAAGAGAGAGAGAGAGAGAGAGAGAAAGAAAGAAAAAGAAAGAAAGAAAGAAAGAGAAAAAAAGAGAAAAGGGAAGGGAAGGGAAAGGAGAAAGAAAAGAGGGAGAGAAAGAAAGAGAGAGAAAGAAAAGAAAAGAAAACTAAAGGCCAAGATCACTGATGAAAATTGAAGCAAAAATACTCAACAAAATGCTAGCAAACTGAATTGAATAATACATTAAAAAGGTCATTCATTATGACTAAGTGAAATTTGTGCAAGTGAGGAAATGATGGTTCAACATATGCAAAGCAAACAATGCAATAAATTATATCAGTAGAATGATGAACAAATCCATATGATTATTTCAATTAATGCTGAAAGAGTACTGATAAAATTTAACTTTTGTTTATTATAAAAACCCTCAAAAAACTGGATATAGAAGGAACATACCTCAAAATAATAGAAGCCATATGACAGACCCATAGCTAGTGCGATACTGATGGAGAAAAATTGAAAGCCTTTCCTCTGAGATTTGGAACATGACAACAATGCCCATTGATATAGTTTGGCTGTGTCCTCACCCCAATCTCATCTTGAATTGTAGCTCCTACAATCTCCACTTGTTGTGGGAGGGATCCAGGGGGAGGTAATTGAATCATGCAGGTGGGTTTTTCCTGTGTTGTTCTCGTGATAGTGAATAAGTCTCATGAGATCTGATGGTTTTATAATGGGCAGTTCTCCTGCACATGCTTTCTTGCCTGCCACCATGTAAGATGTACCTTTGCTCCTCCTTCATCTTCTGCCATGATTGTGAGCCTCCCCTAGCCATGTGAAACTGTGAGTCCATTAAACCTCTTTTTCTTTATAAATTACCCAGTCTTAGGTATGTCCTTATAGCAGCACAAGAATGGACTAATACAGTAAATTCGTACCAGGTAGTGGGGCGCTGCTATAAAGTTACCTGAAAATGTAGAATTCATGTTGTAACTGAGTAGCAGGCAAAGGTTGGAACAGTTTGGAGGACGCAGAAGAAGACAGTAAAATGTGGGAAAGTTTGGAACTTCCTAGAGACTTGGAGGCTCAGAAAACAGGAAAATGTGGGAAAGTTGGGAACTTCCACTTCCTAGACTTGTTGAATGGCTTTGGCCAAAATGCTAATAGTTATATGGACAATAAATTCCAGGCTGAGGTGGACTCAGATGGAGATGAAAAACTTCTTGGGAACTGGAGTAGAGGTCACTCTTACTATGCAAAGAGACTGGCGGCATTTTGCCCCTGCCCTAGAGATCTGTGGAACTTTGAACTTTGAGAGAGATAATTTAGGGTATCTGGCAGAAGAAATTTCTAAGTGGCAAAGCACTCAAGAGGAAGCAGAGCACAAAAATTTGGAAAACCCCATTTTCTGGGGAGAAATTCAAGCCAGCTGCAAAAATTTGCATAAGTAATGAGGAACCAAATGTTACTCACCAAGACATGGGGAAAATGACTCCAGGGCATGTCAGAGACATTCAAGGCACCCTTCCCATCATAGGCATGAAGACCTAGGAAGGAAAAATGGTTTCCTGGGCTGGGTCCAGGGACCCCCTGCTGTGTGCAGTCTCCAGACTTGGTGCTCTGTGTCTGAGTCAATGTACAGCTTGGGCTGTTGCTTCAGAGGGTGCAAGCCCCAAGCCTTGGTGGCTTCCATGTGGCATTGAGCCTGCAGGTACCCAGAAGTCAAGAAATGAGGTTTGGCAACCTCTGCCTAGATTTCAGAGGATATATGAAAATGCCCAGATGTCCAGGCAGATGTGTGCTGCAGGCATGTGTCCCTCATGGAGAACCTATGCTAGAGCAAGGCAGAAAGGAAATGTGGGTGGGAGCCCCCACACACACAGCCTTCACTGGGTCACTACCTAGTGGAGCTTTGAGAAGAGGAGGGCCACCGTCCTCCCAACCCCAGAATGTAGATTCACCACAGCTTGCACCATGTGCCTGGAAAAGTCGCAGACACTCAAGGACAGCCCAGGAGTGGGGCTGTACTCTGTAAAGCCACAGGGACAGAGCTGCCCAAGACCATGAGAACTCACCTCTTGCATCAGTGTGACCTGGATGTGAGACATGGAGTCACAGGAGATCATTTTGGAACTTTAAGGTTTAATGACTGCCCTATTGGATTTCAGACTTTCATGGGGCCTGTAGCCCCTTTGTTTTGGCCAGTTTCTCCCATTTGAAAAGGGTATGCTTACCCAATGCCTGTATCCTTATTGTATCTAGGAAGTAACTAACTTGCTTTTGATTTTACAGGCTCATAGGCAAAAGGGACTTGCCTTGTTTCAGATGGGACTTTGGACTGTGGACTTTTGAGTTAATGCTATAGTGAATTAAGACTTTGGGGAACAGTTGGGAAGGAATGATTGGTTTTGAAATATGAGGACATGAGATTCAGGAGGGGCCAGGGGTGGAATGATATGGTTTGGCTCTGTCCCCACCCAAATCTCATCTTGAATTTTTAGCTCCCCATGTGTCATGGGAGGGACCCTGTGGGAGGTAATTGAATCATGGGGGTGGGTTTTTCCCATGCTGTTCTTGGGATAGTGAGTAAGTCTCATGAGATCTGATGGTTTTATAAAGGGTAGTTCCCCTGCACATGCTCTCTTGCCTGCCTCCATGGCAAGACGTGCTTTTGCTCCTCCTTTGCTTCCACCATGATTGTGAGGCTTCCCCAGTTATGTGAGACTGTAAGTTCATTTAACTCATTTTTCTTTATAAATTATTCAGTCTTGGGTGTATCTTTATAGCATAATGAGAATGAACTAATACACCCATTTTCATAACTGTTATTCAACATAGTACTGGAAGTCCTACCTAGAGTAGCCAGACAAGAGAAAGAAATAAAGGGTGTCCAAACTTGAGAGGAAGAAGTCAAGTTATCCTTTTTCTGCAGATGATATGATCTTATATTTGTAAAAAACCCAAAGACTCCACCTTAAAATATTAAAACTGATAAATTCAGTAAAATTGCAAGATATAAAATCAGCATACAAAAAACAATAGCACTGGTATATGCCAACAGTGAACAATGTGAAAAAGAAGAGCCAGGTATGGTTGCTTATGCCTATAATCCCACACTTTGAGAGGCCAAGGTAGGAGGATCGCTTGAGCTCAGAACTTTAAGACCAGCCTGGGAAACATAGTGAGACCTTGTCCATACTAAAATTTTAAAAAGTTAGCCAGGTGTGTTGGCACATACTTATAGTTTTAGCTACTTGGGGGTGCTGAGGTGGGAGGTTTGCTTAAACCCAGGAAGTCTAGGTTTCAGTGAGCCCTGGTCATGCCACTGCACTCCAGCCTGGGCAACAGGGTGAGACCTTGTCTCACTTAGGATAAAGAAAAAAAAAAAAGAACCCAAGAAAAGTAATCCCATTATCCCATTTACAGTAGGTACCAGTAAGATTAACTACCTAGGAATTAACTAAATAAGTGAAAGATCTCTACAATAGAAACTATAAAAAACTAATGAAAGAAATTGAAGAGGACATATTTAAAAAATGGAAAAATATTCCATGTTCATGGATTGGAAGAATCAATATTGTTAAAATGTCTGTTCTACCCAAGGCAATCTACAGAATCAATGCAATCCCTGTGAAAGTACCAAGGATACTCTTCACAGAAATAGAAAAAAAAAATCCTAAAATGTATATGGAACCACAAAAAAACCAGAATAGACAAAGCTATCCTAAGCAAAAGGAACAAAACTGGCAAGATCACATTACCTGACTTCAAATTATACTGCAAAGCTATAGTAACCAAAATGGCATGGTACTGGCATAGAAACAAACACATATACTAGTGGAATGGAATAGAGAACCCAGAAATAAATCCATACATCTACAGTGAATTCATTTTTTACAGTTTCCAAGAGCATACACTGCAGAAAGGACAGTCTCTTCAATAAATGGCACTGGGGAAAACAGGATATCCATAGGGAGAAGAGTGAAACTAGACCCCTATCTCTCACCTTATGCAAAAATAGAATCAGCCTGGCATGGTGGGTCACGCCTGTAATCCCAGCACTTTGGAAGGCCGAGGTCTGTGGATCACAAGGTCAGGAGTTTGAGATCATCCTGACCAACATGGTGAAACCCCGTATCTACTAAAAATACAAAAATCAGCTGGGCGTGGTGGCACGTGCCTGTAATCCCCACTATTCAGGAGGCTGAGGCAGGAGAATCACTTGAACCCGGGAGGCAGAGGTTGCAGTGAGCTGAGATCACTCCACTGCACTCCAGCCTGCATGGCAGAGCAAGCCTCTGTCTCAAAAACAAACAAACAAACAAACAAACAAACAAACAACTTACATCTGAGACCTCAAACTATGAAACTACTTCAAGGAAACATTGAGGACACTCTCCAGGACATTGGACTGGGCACGGATTTCTTGAGTAATACTCCATAAGCAGAGGCGATGAAAGCAAAAATGGACAATGATTAATGGTTAATGGTTCACATTAAGTTAAAAAACGTTTGCATAACAAAGGGAACAATCAACGAAGTAAAGAGACAACCCAAAACATGGAAGAAAATATTTGCAAACTATCCATCTGACAAGGGATTAATAACCAGAATGGATAAAGAGCTCAAACAAGTCTATACAAAAAAAAAATCTAATAATTCATTTAAAAAATGGGCAAAAGATCTCTATAGACATTTCTCAAAAGGAGACATGTAAAGGGTGAATAGGTATATGAAAAGGTGCTCAACATCACTGATCATCAGAGAAATGCAAATCAAGACTACAGTGTGATATTATCTTCCCCAGTTAAAATGGCTTATACCCAATAGACAGGCAATAACAAATGCTGACAGGAATGTCCAGAAACGGGAACCCTCATACACTGTTGGTGGGAATATGAATTATTACAACCACTATGGAAAACCGTTTAGAGATTCTTCAAAAAAACTGAAAATAGAAGTACCATATGATCTGGCAATGCAGCTACTAGATATATACCCAAATGAAAGGAAATCAGTATGTCAAAAGATACCTGTACTCTGTTTATTGCAGTGCTACTCACAATAGTGAATATTCCAAGATTTGGAAGTAACCTAAGTGTCCATCAACAGATGAATTGGTAAAGAAAGTTTGGTACATATACACAATGAAGTACTATTCAGCCATCAAAAAATAAAATGAGATCCTGTCATTTGCAACAACATGGATGAAACTGGAGGTTACCATGTTAAGTGAAATAAGCCAGGCAGAGAAAGACAAACTTCACTTGTTCTCACTCATTTGTGGGAGCTAAAAATTAAAACAATTGAACTCATGGAGATAGACAGTAGAAGCATAATTACCAGAGACTGGGAAGGGTGGTAGAGAGGAGTGGGTAGGGGACAAGCGGGGATGGTTAATGGGTACAAAACATAGTTTGAAAAAATGTATAATATAAGACCTAGTATTTGCTAGCACAACAGGGTGACTATTTTAAAAAATAATTTAATTGTACATTTAAAAATAACTAAAAGCGTACAATTAGATTGTAACACAAAGGATAAATGCTTCAGTTGATGGATACCCCATTTACTCTGATGTGATTATTATGCATTACATGCTTGTATTAAAATATCTCATGTACCCCATAAATATGTACACCTACTATGTACCCAAGAAAATAAAAAATTAAAAATAATATAATGGTGTACTCTATGTTTAGTATGTAGAGGCAGCTATAATGTACACTGTAGGAAAGTACAAAGTGATGCTGCTTCTGCCTGTGGATTGGGAATGGACAGTGGATCAGCAAATGCATGACAGAGACCATGATGTGAAATGTGGTTCTAGAAGAATGGGTAGGAATAAGCATGGAAAACAGATTATTTATATCCCATGACCCAACAATTTTACTTCTAGGCTATTTAGAACAAATAACCAGGCATATGCATGAGTGTTATTGCAACAATGGATAAGAACAAAAAAAGCTGTTTTCAACAATAAAGCATTATATAAATAAATTATGGTGCAGCCACCTTGTAGAATATTAATGTAGCTGTTAAAAAGTGTGTTGTAGAAGAATATAGGAGAAAATGTTCATTATATTGTGGAGTGAAAAAAAGTAACTTTTAAGTTTGTACATTATGATTCCAAGTGTGTGTATATTTATATAAAGATATAAATATACATATAATTAGAAGAAAGATATTCTCTGTGATGCTAACTCTGTTTATCTTTGAATGGTAGAATTATGAATAATTATTATTGTTATTCTTTGTGCTTTCCAGAATATTTTTCTAATAGATCATTTTGGTAACTAGAATAAAATTACTGAAGAACAAAAATAATTTTGCTGATAATACAAGAAACCCTCTGGGATGTGTTGTCAATTGCCTTGAATTCAAGTTTGCTGATACTATACTGTGAATATATGCACTTGAGCAATTTATGAATTATATGGGTCTCATTTCATCATCTACCAATTGAGGTTTTTTTCTCATATTTATTTCTTTATTTCCTTCTTATAATTTACTTATGTTTATATACTAGGTGAGATGACTTGGTTAAATGGCAAAGAATAATGCATGAACATTCTAATATATTAAATCAATCCACCATTACCTTTTGCTATTTGTATTATATCATCTCCATCATAACACAGTAGGAATATGTTCTGTGGAACATACATGTTATTTGGAACAATCTCAATGGATTTTTGAAATATGTGTTTCCCTTGATAAGTGTGGTAGGTGGCCCCCAAAGGTATCTATGTGTTAGATAGAACCTGTGAATATTACCTTATTGCAGATCTGTTTAAGGTAAGGATCTTGAGATAGTGTGATTATCTTGTACTTTGTGGGTGGGCCCTTAATGTAATCACAAGTGTCCTTATAGGAGAAAGGCAAAAATGTAATGCACAATTGATATTTGAATAACATGGGTTTGAACTGTGCAGGTCTACTTAGATGCAGATTTTCGTTTGCCTTTACTACCACTGAGACAACAAGACCAACCCCTCTTCTTCCTCCTCCTCCTCAGTCTACTCAGTGTGAAGATGAGCATGATCCACTTTCACTTCATGAATAGTAAATATGTTTTTGTCCTTATAATCTTCTTAATACCATTTTCTTTTGTCCAGCTTACTTTATTGTAAGAATACAGTATATAATATATATAACATATAAAATATGTGTGAATCAACTATTTATGTTATGGATAAGGCTTCCAGTCAACAGTAGGCTATTAGTAGTTATGTTTTGGAAGAGTCAAAAGTTTTACATGGATTTTTGACTGTGTTTTGGGGGGATTGACACTCTGAACCCCCATGTTTTTCAAGGGTCAATTGTATTGTATTTTTAAAAATGTGTTGAGAGGATAGACATATTAAGTGATCTTACCACAATAATTTTAAAAAGTATTCTGGGAGAAGAGGGGAAGTTTACATGTTGGGGAGGGAGCAGTGTGAATGACATCAGATTCCACAGGGAAGACTAAGGAAAGGTCTCTGATGACCACGGGAGAAAGTGTAATTTGAGAATCAGGAACAAGTGGGACTGCAGAAGTTAAAGGATGATGAGAAGTTAGGAAACCAAATTCAGACCACTTCTCTCACTGTAGCAAAGGAAAGAAGATGACGTTACATAAGCCAGCAGAGTCAAGTAAAGGTTTTTGAAAATGTTGATTTAAAAGCAAAAGAGAAGAAAGCACAGAAGAAACGGATGATTTTAAGAAAAAAGAAGAATGTGAAAACAATATTCAATTCCAAAAAAGATATGATCAAGATACAGTTGGTAAGGAACAGATTACATTTTCTAAAGAAATATTTGGGAATTACTTGTCCCAGGCATGACCTCTGCTTCCTGAAGGAAGGAATCATGTTGATTTCACTCACTCTGTATCCATGGGAACTAATACAGTGCTTAATACGTTGCTCAATAAAACATTGTTGCTAAGAGGGAGGCGGGGGGAGGGGGCGGGGAGAGAGAGAAAGACAGTGATTGAAATTTTGCTACACAGAAGAAGGGAATGTGATGGAAGCAGAGAGACATTTGAAGATGCTATGCTGCTAGCTTTCAAGATGGAGAAAGAGGTCACAAGCCAAGGAATGCAGGTGATCTTTAGAACCTGGAAAAGGAAGTGAAACTAATTCTTCCCTGAGTTTCCAGAGGGAGCATGGCTCTGCTGACATCTTGACTTAAGCCAAATGAAACTGACTTCACACTTCTAGCCTCCAAGACTGTAAGATAATAAATTTCTATTGTTTTAAGCCACTACGTTTGTGGTAATTTATTATTATAACAATGGAAAGCCAATATGATAGGATTTTCATATTTTTTAATATGTCACATTATCCCATGGAACACTCAGAAGTCTTTGTATAATTCATCCCAAGCTGTATTTTTGTCCTGAAAATGCAAATCTTTAAAGACTAGCCTCCATTCTTCTTTCTCTTTTCTAAGGAAGGTCCAGGACTTTACCTCTTAAAATTCCTTGAAAGTTCAGTATTCAATAAATATAAGACTATTCAGGCAGGTAGAAAGCAATAGAGCAGGAATGTCATCTTCTAAGAATTATATTTAAATGAACAGTAAAGTTTCAGGATCCAAATTCAATGTGCAAAAATCATTAGCATTTCTATACACCAATAACAATAAAGCAGAGAACCAAATCGAGGGCTCAATCCCATTTACAATAGCTACAGAAAAAAGTACCTAGTAATACCTTTAAGCAAGCAGGTGAAGGATCTCTACAAGGAGAACTGTAAAATACTGTGAAATAAATTATAGATGATACAAAAAAATGGAAAGAATCACATGCTCATGGATTGGAAGAATCAATATCATTAAAATGACCATATCACCCAAAGTTATCTATGGATTCAATGAAATTCCTATCAATTTACCAACATCACTTTTCCACAGTATTAAATAAAAAGGACTAATATCCAGAATATACAAAGATCTCAAACAACTCAGTAAGAAAAAAACAGCCTCATTAAGAAGTGAGCGAAGGACAGGAACAGACATTTTCAAAAGAAGACATTCAAGTGGCCAAGAAACATACGAGAAAATGCTCAACATCACTAATCATCAGAGAAATGTAAATTAAAAGCATAATGAGATATCATCTTATACCATTCAGAATGACTACTATTAAAATGTCAAAAAAATAACAGATGTTGGCAAAGATGCAGACAAAAGGAAACACTTATACACTGTTGGTGTGAATGTAGATCAGTACTGCCTCTGTGGAAAACAAAGTTTCTCAAATAACTAAAAGTAGAATTACCATTCCATGAGGCAATCTCACTGCTGGGTTTCTACCCAAAAGAAAACAAATTATTATGTAAAAAAGACATCAGCAATCATATGCTTATAGAAGCGCTATTCACAATAGCAAAGTCATGGAATCAACCTGTGTCCATCATGTATGATTGAATAAAGAAAATGTGGTATATATAAACCATAGATTACTACTCAGCCATAAAATGATAAAATCATGTCTTTTGCAGCAACGTGAAACTGGAAGCTATTATCGTAAGTGAAATAACTCAGAAACAAAGTCAAATATCACATATTCTTACTTTTAAGTGGGAACTAAACAATGTGTACACTTGTACATACAAAGTAGAATAATAGACATTGAAGACTCCAAAAGGTGGCAGGTGAGAGAGGGGTAGGGGATGAGAAGTAAACTGCCTATTGGGTATAATGGACACTATTTGGGTGATGATTACACTAAAAGCCCAGACTTCACCATTATGCAATATAACCATATAATAATAGAACTGTACTTATGCCTCCTAAATCTATAAAAAAATTAAATTTTAAAAAATGAAGAGACTGGACCAGATAAAACTTATGCTTTCTGAGGTGTACTTTTTAATGTAACAGTATAGATGTCATTTTATTCTTTGAATATTATTCTCTTGAGGATCATTTTTTATTATGCTTAGTTCCAACTCACACTATTTTGAGAGTATTACAATGTAAATAATTGCATAGCTAGCTTCTGCTCAAAGGATACCTTGTTTTAAATATATTGTCTTTTATTATTATTTTTTAAATTGTCACTTTTATGATTTCATACTAGGACACTGTGATGCTAGAGGCTAGGGCATCACAGACATTGAGGATATAATTTGGACAGATTGGTAATTTTATGTTTTGGGCATTTCCATAATATGATTTAAGTGAACCTGACTTGCATTCACCTTTAACTATTGCTCCTTTTCTTTGAGGTCAAGTGTCTTGCAAGAGTAATCTGTGTTTCACTGGGTCTGCATTTACTCATCTTCATTCATTCTTTAACTCATCAACATCCTGAATTTTTGTTTTGTTTATCTTTGTTCCTGTGGTGGCTACCACAGCAGTTGCTACATTTTAAGTGTTCAATAACTCTTTTGAAATCGATAAGGTTTTTCATCACCCACCTTCCTGCAAGGAAGAATTCCTTGAGAAATCTTGATTGTGCCCTTTATTTTCTATTAAAAAATAGCAATGTAATCTCTAATGAGAATAAAAAATAGGGAATAGCAGTTTGCAGATATCAAACTGTTATCAAAAATATAGTGAGAGAAGTGGTGTTTGAAGGACACAGAAGCCAATTATTTCTCTAAATGTTCTCTGCTCTCTCCTTGAATTTGCACAGCCTCTGGATCCAGAGGTCAAAATGCAATGCTCTCATATCATATGTTGGTCAACTGAATGATATTCTAAGACGATATGAAACCTGTTACATTTTCTATAGAAATATTTTTGAAAATATTGTGTCCCTATAAAAAAAAAGCCTGCATCGGAAATTTATTTTATAGAAAAAATATTTTTTAAAAATCATTTGCTTCCTTTAGAAACTTTTGATTTTATCTTTTTTGCCAATAAAAACTACACAGCATACTTTTTTTTTTTTTTTTTTTTTTTTTTGCTGGGCTACTAGAAAGCATAGCGCTAAATATGTGGGTTGCTTTATTTTAGCAGTTACTTAGATCTTACGGCTAAAGTCTGGGATTGTGATGAAGTTTTAACCTCCACAGTAATCCCAATCAGTTATTTACAGATGTCTAGAGCACCAGCCAGAGAGTTAGGTGTAGCACGCATACTCAAATGGGAGAGAGCTGTGATGGATTCCTTACTCTGCCATCAGTGGGAATCCGAGAGTGGTGGCATGAATGTGTGCATTTTCTGGTCATGGTCTGTGTATGCTACTTATTTACTCCACTTTTATCTCTATTTAATTTTCCTTGGTACAGAGTGAAACAACAATTTTATGATCATGATCTATTTAATTTTGTATCAATTTCACCAAGCAATTTGTTTCATGGAGTATTTCAGGGTATCAGAATCAACTATACTAAAATTCTGTATAACATTTGAAACACAGGGTAAGCAGTCTATTCACAAAGTAATTAAGAAATTTAATTCTAATACTCTATACTAGATATAGATGTATTTTATACATATATACATATATATTTACACATATATACATATTTACACATATATATACATATGTAAAAACTTGCAACATACCAAATGGATGTAGACATTAGCAATACCCAAGAATCTTCAGTCTGCAAAATCTATTCAAATCATCACTTCATAATCTACAACTCTTAATTTCTTTTCCTACAGAGCATGTTTTTATTTATTTATTTTTTCTTACATCTTCCAATTCCTTCAAATTCCCCAGGTCTTGGGAATATGGGCTGACTTTTAGGGGAATTCTTTCCTAGCTGTCTGGGTCATTGACTCTTGTCTACTGAATATTTGTGACATTCCAAGACTTTTACTATGTGCCAGTAATTCAGGAGTGAAGGCAGATGGCCATAGAGCCTGCCCTCTAGGGACTTAAAGCCTAGATCCTGCCTCCTTGAGCCAGAGCTCTTGACCCTTTTTTTTTTTTTTTTCTGGAAGTCATGATGGTAAGTAGCTATTCTCATTAAACAGAGGACCATGTGTCGTGAACACTATTCCTAATGTCATTGAGTTGGAAAGGCATCATCTCTTACTTTTCTTGAATCTCATCCTTTTAGCAACCTATTTTGACTTGGAGGGAGAGTTGCTTTCTCCATTCTGTTTAATGGCTAATATATCCACTCAATCAAACAAACCCCAACTCTCTCCCCAATTATATCCATTAATTTAATGTATTTATAGTAAGTTGTTTCATTTTCTCTTTATAATGATATGAGATACAAATACTACTATAATGAATACCAAGCATCCATGGGCATGACTTTTCTGTCAATACATAATGTAGATATATTAAATACCTGGATCTGCAAGGCTCCTGGAAACTGATAATCTATTTAGCATAAACATCCTATGTTCAAATTGATCTTTTCACTGGTCTTTGCTTTCCCTTTCCCCCACCTTTCTTTATGTTTTCTGCTTCCTTTCTTTCCCCTTTTATTACTTGCTGATACTAAGCGATGTTCAAGTCAACAGGTTAGATCTATGCTGTCCATGAAAGTAAGCCTTGAGTAGAGAATTCATTTTTGACGTTCCCTTCAGATGCTGCCTAATTTTTTTCTTCACAGAGAAACTGTGGAACTTGCTGCCCTACATGATGACAATTTGTTCTTGAAAAGTTACAGTCAAAGCTAATTAATGCTGCTGATGGTTTGAGGAATTTCTCTTTTGGCAATTATGCTAAACTTGGTTAAAGTAGTGGCTGGTTGGATGAAACAGGAAGCTGTTAAAAAAAAAAAAAGCAACAAAAACTTGACTCATGAAAGAATTTCCAGCCTGAAATTTAATAAAAAAGATGCCTTACCTTCTCCTTAAGGTTTGACATGCTATTCCCATAGGCTGAGGGAGTTGCTTTGTTCTAAATCTTTGCTGAAACAGCTTCTGAAATGTGTTTGATCCAATTGGGTACTATTAGGTGATATAATTTGGAAATGTGTCCCTACCTAAATCTCATGTCAAATTGTAATCCCCAATGTTGGAGGTGGGGCCTGGTGGGAGGTAACTGGATCATGGGGGTGGGTTTCTCATGAATGGTTTAGCTTCATCCCTCTTGGTACTGTGTTATTGACAGTAGGTGAGTTCTCATGAGATCTGGTTGTTTAAGAGTGTGTAGCCCCTCTCCCTTCTCTCTCTTGCTCCTACTACTGCTGTGTAAGACTCACCTTCCACCATAATTGTAAGTTTCCTGAGGCCTCCCCAGAAGCTGAGCAGATGCCAGCACCATGCCTCCTGTCAATCTGCAGAATCATAAGCCAATTAAACCTTTTTTCTTTATAAATTGCCCAGTCTCAGGTATTTCTCTATAGCAATGCAAGAATGGCCTAATAACCTGGGTAAAAGGGACATAGTCTACACATTCTTTATGAAACTTTGCTCCTAAAAGGTCACTTTTTCTTCTGACTGATATTTGAGAAAAAAGCAAAACAAAATATTTGACTGCTTTTGAGTTGCTGAGACCCTCCCAAGCCTGCCCAGGTAGGTCTCATTGGCTGGGGGTTGAGGTTGTGGTGGGGATAAAACCTTCCCAGACTCTAATAGAAATAAAAAGGAAGTTGATGATGGAAGTAGAAAATCTAAACTCTTAAGGTTAGCATGCTTAGATAAAGTCTGTCATCAGCTCTTTAAATTACCACCAGGAGACTCCATGTTGGCTGTTTTAACCTTTGCTAAAGCAGTCTAGTAATCTGTCCAGTTTACTTCTTAATAAAACTCTTCTTAATAAAACTTCTTCAAAAAAATGAAGCTGGCCATCAGGAACAACTGCACAGTGAGCTCTCTAGGTGAACAGCTGTTCAAGACCAGAGCAGCAGTTTGGTCTCAGATTCCTGCAGTCCAACATTTCACTTTGTTTCCTGTGACACTTGTACAAAACCTCAGAGTTTTGTCCCTTCCTTTCTCTTCAATTATTTCACAGTGAGTATGTCAGTGAAGTTTTCAGCTGATGGCATAAGCATCTCTTGTAGGAACAAAATAAGATCCAAGAGGTATGAGGTTAGGTGAAATGTACCAACTTTGGCAGTTACTTGTTCTTGCTAGCAGCTCTGGCTTCAGTACACCTTCCACCTGACTCTCCCACAGCCATCATAACCACAGATATGGGGAAAAAAACCTTGAAAGGCTACTTGTCTCAGGTTCATACCTTTGGGAAGATGATAGCCTAACTCTGCCGAGTCCCCCAAGAGCACATGCTTTTTAGGGTGACTTTCAGTATCAGCACAGTTAGCTGAATAACATTGCAAAGTAAATCACATTTAACTCGGACCTTTCCATTTTCTTCCTGAGATCCTTTCCCATTTTCTCATCTCCCTTTCCTTCATCCTTTAGTGACAGTGTCCTCTCGATGATTGGAGCAGGTCATTTGGCTGTCCACTCAGGTTCTTCCTCTCTTCTTCCTGTCCCTGAGGCTCTAATTTTTAAATATAACTGTACATCAGAATCACCTGGGGTGATAATTAAAGAAATTTAAGATGAGGCAGAGGTGGAGGGGGGAGTGAGATGTAGAAAAACATTCAATTTGAAAACAGGATAAAACATGCACAAACATTTTACCAAAGAGAATACATGACAAATAAGCACATAAGATGTTCAACATCATTAGCCAATAGACAATGCAAATTAAAATCACAATCAGATACTGTTACACACCTATCAGAATGGCCACAATGAAACATAATAACATCAAATGCTGGCACTGTGGTACACCCATAGCATGGAAAACTATTCAGTGATAAAAGGAAACTATTCCTACACAAAACCACTTGGATTGACCTTGAAGAAGTTATATAGGTAAAAGCAAGTCATGAATTATGAGTTCAAAGCTTCTTTTGGTTGTTGAGCATTCTCATATATGCAGGGACCTGCCTGTTCTCAACTTTTGGTGTAGGTGAATGTTTCAGGACACATTAATTTATCTCTTCTTTGAATTCAGCAAAATTTATCTGTGTTAAATAAGCACTTACTTACAGATTAATGTTTCCATATATAATCATGTTCTTCCAAAGTGACTGTTACATTTCTCCAGAAAAAGGACGTCCCCTTAGTATCTAATACAATGTAGCCACACACATAATAGAGATTTCAAAATGCCTTGTTATTTACAAAATATATGAAAAGTAAGAAGATTGAAGCACGATGTAAAGAGTGGATTCTTCTACTGAGTACTTACTTCACTGGTCAACAGTTTATTCAAAGAAACACGTGGCATTTCTAATAAGATCTAGCTAGAATACTGTTTTCCATCTTTGTTGGCATGAAAGAACTGTGTCTCTCAAGTTTGGGTGCTTGCCTATGATGTTCCTCTTTCTCTCCCACCAAGCACGCTGGTGCCATCACAGGGAGTTTTTATTTGTCACAAATACATTAAAATAACTTGTCATCAGATATGGATTAGAAATAGGTCATTTGGTAGCTGTTGCAGATTTTTTTTTTTTTTTGAGACAGGGTCTTGCTTTGTCACCCAGGCTGGAGTGCAGTGGCATGATCCCAGCTCACTGTAACCTCTGCCTCCTGAGTTCAAGCAATTCTCATGCCTCACCCTCGCAAGTAGCTGGGATTATAGGCATGTGCCATCATCCCTGGATACTTTTTTGTATTTTTAGTAGGACGGAGTTTCGCCATGTTGGCCTGGCTGGTCTCAAACTCCTGGCCTCAAGTGATCCACCCACCTTGGCCTCCCAAATGCTGGGATTACAGGCATGAGCCACCACAGCTGGCTGGAATATTTAAATGAAATTATGGTGAGTTTGTGCTCTGTTCACTATGAATGAAGTGTTTGATCTTGTCTTTCATTATTAACAGAAACTGATTATTGTGAAACATTCTCTTTTCATTTCATGTCAGCAGGGCTTGCCAATGGGTAGGCCTGCTGCTTCTGAAAAAATGCCTCCTTTTTTTGAACTGCCATAGTTTCTAAAATTTTGAAAGTCCTTTGGGATAAAAGTATGTGTTTCTGAAGTTTCACTATTCTACTTTAAGTTATCTGAATGAAGAATACATCAATATATTATCATCTTGATTATTGATGTATCAATTGGAGTAGTAAATTTTGGAAATTGGTGGTTTAGTTTGCTTAGGGATTAGGACTGTGTTCTGATAAGTTTTATATGGAATTTAAGAGTCAAGAAAAACATTATGTGAAGGCCAAAATCAAGGACCCTGGGATGTGGACATTTTGAGACATAAAAACGGGTGATGAAGACAGAAAGAAAAACACACCTAAAAGGGGTATTGAAGGCTTAAGATTTTCTCTCCTTGACTATTTTTCCTAAGTAGAAAAATGTCTAACATAGTAACTACATTTTCTAAGGGCTTTTAAATTTAGAACTTGAAGAAGGAGAGCTATGTGTTGCTTTAGGGGGAATCACCAATTAAAATGTTTGTAGAGACTAGGTGCTAAGCATGTAAGAATGGTCTTGGTGAGAGCAGTGGTGAACTAGAGAGTGCAGACCTCCAAAAAATACTTTTCCATGGCCCAAATTCAGCTGGTGAGCCAACCAGTTTGCAATGCTTACTTTTAATAATTATTATCTTATTTGATAGATGATACAGTTAAAATAGAATTTTTTCCTGAGCTGAAGAGAAATCTTCATAAGACATTCTAATATTTAAAAGTCAGTATTCACAACCTTGGAGGCCAGAGCAGGAAGCAGTAAATTGTTTCTTTTTTTTTTTTTATTTACTGCCTAAGCCAACTTAAAGCACTTTTATTAAGAGTGTACCAGATAGACATCTGGATTGAATTCTTGATTTTGTGTTTTAATTTTCTTATACATGAATTTCCCTATCTACAAGTTTTACTTTTGGTTCTAATCATTAGTTAATTCTAAGAAACATTTCTTCAACATGGAAGGCATCTGAATGACAGATGCTTCTTTTGATGACTTTGCGGTGTCCCTACAAAGATGGTTAAGTGGATTTTTTGTTGCACTGTTGAGTATGAAAAATTGTAGCATCATTGGGTGCTGTGTTTTCATTAAATCTCATGGCCCTGACAAATGTGAAAGTGTGATGATATTAAATTTCTCTAGATCCCAAGTTAACTTATTATGAAGACTTACAATTCTGGCACTTAAAAAAAAACCCAGATGGGTTGTAGAGTTTCACAAAGTTTAACATTTTCTGACCTTCTGTGGTGAAAGAGAATTAGATTGGATGCCAGAATCCGTGGGTTCTAGTCTTGGCTCTGTCACTAACCAGCTGTGTAATTTTGGACAAGTTAATTTTCCTCTATGATCCAGGATTTTTTCCTATTATAAAATAAATAAGTTAGGCTGAGAAGTTTTATAGGTCTCTTCCAATCTGATCTTATGTTATGCCAGTGATTTCTGTGTTGAGATCCTAAATTTTTCACATACTAGCTAAGCCCACTTGTATAAATTCATTTCTTTATTTCCCAGTTTTCTTATCGGTAAATGAGTATAATAATTGCACAATATGAGGAAAAAAATGGGCTAATAGATGTATAAAAATTAGCTTATAATTAGTGTTCAATAAAGAGTAACTATAGTTGCTGTGAGTCTGAGATTAGCAAACCAAATACTGAATTTGAATCAAATCATTTTTACTTAAGGCCTGGACTCTCTATTGGCCACATGACCTTAAAAGGAGTCACTTGATTTTGAGTGAAATAAATTGTGCTCTTTCCAATCTCCCTCATTTACAATTTGGATAAGTTAATAGTAAACATAAAGATATTTAAGGCTTTAGGAGTCTGTATGTTGCGCAAGTAAGAAAATTGTGATATTATCACTATATGTTCTTAAACACATTTCTTTGTCAAGGTTCTATCATAGTGCGATCACATTTTCATTGCAGAAAGGCTGTGTGGGATGGTTAGAAGCATGAATTGATCTGTAGGCCTTAAAAGTTTTATACTAAATGTGGTGGCACTTCTAACTTTAATCTAAAATTGTCTCGGTGTTTGTTAAAAATCAGAAAGCTATAACATTTTAAATGAAACAACTCAACCATGTCCTTAATCTGAATGTTAGAGACCTTTCCTTGACTCTCAGGACGAGGTTCTTGAGCCCTCCCTCAGTTTCTACTTCAATGATAATTACTTATCTATCTGGATTTCTGTTGACTGTAGAGAGTAAATAGGCAAAGATAGCACTGAAAACATCTTGTTACATGGATATTGTAAGAAGTAAAATAATACAGAAAATTTTATAGCAGAAAAGTGACAGAGTCCTACTTATCCTTCTGCATTTTTAGCACCACTTATCAGAAGGAAGTGTTTCTTAGAATTTTTTAATTTAGTTCATCTGCTGGTTGCCTCCATAACTCTGTTAACCATGCACTATAACTGCTATTCAAAACATATACTTTAGAAATTATTTTAAAATTTACCTCCTACTATATGAAATGCAAATATTCTGCTATCTTACTTATTGCATATATATATGAAACTTATTGCTTATATATACTCTCCAGCGTATTGCATTAAGTAGGAAAGCATATATAACCAATAAGGTTTATTTCTTTACTTCAAATTCTAGCCACATAATTTAAATATTCATTTCTTATTTTTATATAGAATATTTTGTTCCCCACCCTGGAAGATGAGGACCTATTTCCTTTACCTATTTTTATTGCTTCTACCTGGGAACTTAAAATAACATATGCAAGTTCAAGTTTGATGGCCTTTGTGATTTGTCCATACACTAATCTTAAAAGTTGAAAAGTAAAATTGCTTACATCATTATGAGAAGTCAGCATTGTTATCTACATAGCCAAGTAGTTTATTATGATTACATATCCTTTTCTACAGTTTCAATGTCATAACCTTTGTGACTCACAAAATATACCAGTCCTAGTATCAAGTTCAAGTTTTTGGTATATATTTTACCAGTCACTCAAATTCATTCTGCTCTGTTGTAGCTTGCCTTTTATTTGGATCATGCTTTTCTTGTATAATTATATTTATTTACCTTCCTGAAGTTCTGATTGCTTTATTTTATTCTTTTTCAGTCTTTGCACTTAACAGGGATTTTTCAAAGTATCACGAGTAAATATCAGAGGCCTGATATCTCTTGATCAAAAGTAAGGTAGCTCTCTCTCAAAACATCATATTGATATGGCAATATAAAAAAATGGCAACTTGCCACTTGCTCTGGCAGCTAGATGCTGAAGAAAGTCAGTGTACCAGGGCCAAAAACAGGATATAAGAGAAGTGCTTACATTCTGGGCTTTCCCTTGCATCTTGTTGCCAAGACAACCAAAGGCTGCCTTAATCGTTGAGGACACCATCACCTCTCTGAATAACAAAAATGGTTTTACAATTTTCGGTCACTCATTTCTGAGAGGTTGGAGGTGAAAATGAATTCCAGGAGATACCTTTGTAAAATCTTTGATACTAGAGCTCTGATGGTAATATGAAGGTGCTTAAAAGGTGTGATTAGTTCACAGTGGAGTTATGCCAATATTTTTGTCTCTCTTGACTTCCAAACCCGAGTTACTTAGGATACAACCTTGGGAAGCATATTTAGCTCTGATCTCTGCGGTGTTTGGTTCATCTTGAATCTTTCTAGAATGCCTAATTGAATGGTATCTGAGAAGAAGTTGGTGATGAATTAGATGCAGATCACAGCTGGCTGATGGGAATTGCCACTTGATTTGAGGGGTATTTAACATATTTAAAGTGGTGTGTGATTCACTTATATGTTCTGGGTTCATGGAGACAGAAACACTGGTTGTTTCTTGCTGGCTGTGGCAGCAGGCAAGTAGACTTGTGCATGGGCCTGAAGATAAACTTTTCACAATTTAAAGGCTAAGGCAAGATTTAATCCTGCTAACCATAGAGTAACAGATTTTACAGTTTATCTTGCTCAGATATGTGTTTTGACGTTCGCTGGAGGTTTGAGCATAGGAGTTCAGACATTTCTGTGATTTTTCTGATGTCTTCTTCACCAAATGCCATATTTGGGCAAGAATATACACAGAATAGAAGGAGAAAAAGTCTTAGCCCGTCTAACAGCCAAATGTATTGAACCACAATGCTGACATTGTAAGGATGACGGATATTAGAGCCAGATCACTCTAATATCCAAGGAGTTCCCACAGATAATCCCCTTTGCCAAAACAATTAAAATAGGATAGTTTCCTTTCACTTTGCAGGGTTTCAGTGCAATTCTATCAAGTCAGGAAGGCAAATAACTACTTAATCCCCCAGGTAGGTAACGACTCTCTATGCTGCCTATTGTGGGTCACTGGAAGGGAATGTAAAAATGGGTCTTGACTTTATTTAGGTCAGGAAAGAAAGTTTTAAAAGTGGACTTGGCTACCACTGTGGCCTCGCTATTGTCAGTTCCACTATTCTCCTACAAATGGCTCAATTTCCATGTGAAAACGTGCTCTACTTAACGAAAAGTTAAGTGGAATGAGGTTAGGAAGTCAAATGCCCTAGAGTCTCAAGCATAGAGGCAATAGAGCTGACTAGAATTTTCTTACAAAGGTTAAGTAAATTAATAATGTTTTCTGGGCAATAGGTAAAATTATTCATTTTGATTTAGCCTAAAGGACTCAGTACTTCTTTTTGTGTATCTGTGGGACATGCTTGTGGAAGGGAGACTTGATTTATTAAGTGTAGCTTCAGGGAGCAAAAGTCAGACCAATGGGTAGCTGCCAGAATCTCAGAGGCAAATTGATGTCCCATTCTTAGTAAATTTACAAGATCAGGGAAAGTCTTTTATGCAATAATTTAGTTTCTGGTTTTACTTTATTTTCCTTTTTATGTTCTCCAACTTCCTAACTTGCCTCATTTAAATTTTATTTTGTCCTATAATTGTGTGCACTTTCCTAAGTAATGAGCATTTTCTATTTCCTAAGAGCATTAAATAAACATTTCCTAATCATTTCCTAAGAGCACTAAATAAACAAATATATAAATAAATTTCATTCATCTTCCAGTGAATGAAACCTGTAGTATAGCAGATTTGCATTCAGCATTAGGAAAAACCTCAAACTTACAGGTAGTGTGGAAGCCACTTGTGGCACCCATGACCACATTGATATATATATAGGCATTGGGAGTTATCCCCTTTTGGGGGTTCACAGATTTAGCAGTCTCTTCCAAGCTTATGTAAAGTTTTATAGAATGTTCTATTCCCTATGAATTTGTGTTATAAAGGGAAGAAACAAAAAATCTTTTGGATTGTAAAAAGAAGAAAATAGAGAAAAGATATACCATGAATATTTCTTCTTGGATATTATTGCTAATTTTTGTTACTTCTGCTAAAAATGGAAGGACAAAACTGACTTTTTCGGTTGCTTCTAAACTGCCTGGATAACAATCACAAGTGATTATGCTTAGAATTTTGAAGACAGCTGCTTTATAGAGAACGTGCTTTCCATCAGCTCATTTAGGTTGTAGGCTAAAAATTGAGGCGGAAGAAGTTGAAGGGATTTGGCCACAGTGGCAGCCAGTCACCAGCCAAGACAGGAAACAGATTTCATCTTCCTGTTATTAAGGGTAATTTGCCATTCACCAGACTGTACTCGTGATGACACATACTAAGGTGTGATCAACTTGTAGCTGGATGCATATCTGAAAGAATCATTTTGATAAGCATTTTAGAAAATGAACCAAATTCAAGCACTCCATACAATTGCAGCTAATGGAAGATATGCAATCTCATTTTAAACCAGCATTCAGTGGACCGTACATACAGTCCACATCTAGCCACAAGCAGAGATTTGGCTTAAAAATAGATCCGATCTGAGCTCTACTTTAGATTTAATCTTGATATAATCGAGACATAATTGTTATGCGCATCTGTAACCTGAGCAGGCTCAGTGTGAGCAACAAGGCTGTTTATTTACTTGGGTGCAGGTGGGCTGAGTCTGAGAAAGGAGTCAGCAAACGGTGGTGGGATTATCATTGGTTCTTATAGGTTTGGGATAGGTGGTGGAGTTAGGAGCAATTTTTTGCAGGCAGGGGATGGATGTTACAAACTACATTCACAAGGACAGGGAATATCACAAAGTACATTATCACAAGGGCACGAGAATGTCAGGATGGCTTGACCATGGTGCGGCCAGCTCAGAGGACCTTACAAAAATTACAGCATTTTCCAATACTCCTTTAAGAGTTACGGAACTATTTGTCATCCCATCAGGCTTTCATGTTTCTCTATTAGTTTTGAGTTAATAACTACTATATGAAGCTCATGGCCCCAACTTATTGAGAGACAATTCGGAGAAAGGCAGCACTGTTACTCAAGGGAGACATGCAGTGGACAGGACAGAGACTAATCAGATTTGATTACTTGCATTTGTGTGATTTGGAGGAGTTGAGCATGTGCTGTTGAAGTATCTGGACCAAGAGGCAAAGGGTCAAACAGTGGAAAAGCATACAACAACAACAAAAAAAAAGAAAGAAAGAAAAATGGAAAAATAAAGAGAGAATGAAGTCTGAGAAGGTTTAAACAATTGTCTATGAAGAAAAAACTTGAAATTTTTGACAATTCCATAATTTTCCCCAATAGAATTATGATTATATAATTATAATTCAAAATACACTTTTTGAATTATATCTACACTTTTGAAGATATAAAATACAAGGTGGTTAAGAATAACGTGTGATAAATTCTTAAAGTATCAGCTTTTCCTTCAGCTCTAAATGCTATGAGGAACAGCCATTCAAAACAAATCATAACTACTCAGTTTTTTTAATGCACTGACCCTCATGCTAGTTTGATCATGAGGTTACCAGAGCATATGCTATCTACTGAATCAAATTCTCCAGGGAAGTGATCTTGACAATCTGTAATTTTAATCAGCTCTCCAATGTGATTTAAATAGCTGGCAAATGTGGACAACAGTGCATGAGAGAATGTTGCTTAGAAGTTAAAGTCTTGCTTTCCATGCTACCTACAGAGGGGTCCATACGGCATTGTTCTGGATTCCCGTCATAACTTAAAGGGAAACTTTCACAATGTCCGGAGCCCTTGATGTCCTGCAAATGAAGGAGGAGGATGTCCTTAAGTTCCTTACAGCAGGAACCCATTTAGGTGGCACCAATCTTGACTTCCAGATGGAACAGTACATCTATAAAAGGAGAAGTGATGGCATCTACATCATAAATCTGAAGAGGACCTGGGAGAAGCTTCTGTTGGCAGCTCGTGCCATTGTTGCCATTGAAAACCCTGCTGTTGTCAGTGTTATATCCTCCAGGAATACTGGCCAGAGGGCTGTGCTGAAGTTTGCTGCTGTCACTGGAGCCACTCCAATTGCTGGCCGCTTCACTCCTGGAAACTTCACTAACCAGATCCACAGCTTCTTGTGGTTACTAACCCCAGGGCTGACCACCAGCCTCTCATGGAGGCATCTTATGTTAACCTACCTACCATTGCTCTGTGTAACACAGATTCTCCTCTGCACTTTGTGGACATTGCCATCCCATGCAACAACAAGGGAGCTCACTGAGTGGGTTTGATGTGATGGATGCTGGCTCGGGAAGTTCTGTGCATGCGTGGCACCATTTCCCATGAACACCCATGGGAGGTCGTGCCTGATCTCTACTTCTACAAAGATCCTGAAGAGATTGAAAAAGAAGAGCAGGCTGCTGCTGAAAAGGCAGTGACCAAGGAGGAATTTCAGGGTGAATGGACTGCTCCAGCTCCTGAGTTCACTGCTACTCAGCCTGAGGTTGCAGACTGGTCTGAAGGTGTGCAGGTGCCCTCTGTGCCTATTCAGCAGTTCCCTACTGAAGACTGGAGTGCTCAGCCTGCCACGGAAGACTGGTCTGCAGCTCCCACTGCTCAGGCCACTGAATGGGTAGGAGAAACCACTGAATGGTCTTAAGCTGTTCTTGCATGGGCTCTTAAGCAACATGGAAAAATGGTTGATGCAAAATAAACATCAGTTTCTAAAAAAAAAAAAAGAAGTCAAAGTCTTGGGCATAAGCCCCATCTATGGAGGGAAGGTAGCTTGGGTCAAGTTTGCCTTGACCCAGTGTGACCCTCTCATGTTCATTGGTTATCTGACATAAACTCTTGGTCATAATAGATTTGGGCCCATATTCACAGAACATTAATAAAAAATCAAACCTGCTTCAAAATTCACCTTCTATTGGTTCTCATCTTTATTTGTGAAGAACTGAATTAAAATTACATACTATCACTGTTGCTTGCTGCACTCTCCCTCTTTAGCTAGAAAGATAAAGTTAAATTGACTTTGCAAGTCTCATAAAAGATTTTATTTTAAGCTACCACACATGGCTAATTAGCAGCACATGCTATGTGGAGTCCACTGACTGCAGCCACAATAGATAATTTATATAACAATGGAAGGGAGAGTCACTTTAAGGCCAAATCCATTTCTTTTTTTAGGGCTAAGATCAGAGGAGTGATTGATGCTATAGACTGTGAATACCTTCATTTGTTTTGGATCTTTATCCATTTTACAGCAAAAAGAGCTCCACCACCTGCAAAATCTCAACTTTTCTTTTTAATCTAGGAATATGAGTGCTATAAAAGAGGTTACTGCTGCCATGAAAATAGTAAGTGCTCCATAAAATCAAAACTACACCTTGTTTAAATTCTTATTTTTGCTCTCATTTGCTGTGTGACTTTGGATCTTAATTTCTCAGAACTTTAGTTTACTCATACTTTTAATGGAGGTACTAATACATCCTTCTATGGAGAACTAAATGAAATGAACCATGTGTGGTAAATTTTCTTTTCTTTTTTTTTTTTTTTTTGTTTTGAGGGAGAGTCTCGCTCTGTCACCCAGGCTGGAGTTCAGTGGCACAATCTCGGCTCACTGCAACCTCCGCCTCCCGGGTTCACGCCATTCTCCTGCCTCAGCTTCCCAAGTAGCTGGGACTACAGGTGCCCGCCACCACGCCCGGCTAATTTTTTTTTTTTTTTTGTATTTTTATTAGAGACAGGGTTTCACCATGTTAGGCAGGATGGTCTTGATCTCCTGACCTCATGATCTGCCCACTTCGGCCTTCCAAAGTGCTGGGATTACAGGCGTGAGCCACCGCGCCCGGCCTCACGTGTGGTAAATTGTTTTCCATTCTTCAGTCTCTTCTGCCATGTGGTCTTGCCATGGGTGAGTGAAGGGCATATGCTTCCTACCCATTGATCTGGGCTTCATCATGTGAATCAATTTGGTGTGGAATGAGGGCAGATAAGTTACTGTGCCAGTTGCAAGCTATGACCACAAGAGGCCTTAGAGCTAATCCTTATGCTCCTGTAAATGAATGGTCATTTTAAATAGCATCCCCCAAGAAGCCATTTTCCCTTCAGACTAGAAAAATCCAGAAAGAATATGTTTGAGGAAGTCTTGAAAATCCAGTCTTCAGCCTTACACAGAGATGGCCCAGCCAACTTGCAGACTCATTGGAGAGAAAAGTAAATACTTTTGTAAGTCACTAAATTTGGTATGCAAGATTATTGTAGTAGCAAAAGCTGACTAATTCATTATGTCATACTTCTGATAGAGTAGGATTGAAAAAGCATTAGACCGCCCTTCAAATATTTTCTCACTTAGGATTGTTTGTTGAGGTATAAATTACATAGAGGAGGTATAGTAGGTATAAGCCGCACAGCCACGTAAGCTAACATAGTCGGTGCAGCGCACAATAAGCATAGTAGCAAGTGAGCAAACATATACAAAAACCTAGCTAGCCATGTCTGGCACAGAATAAATGGATAATAAATTCTGGAAGCTTTTCTTCTGGATTGACACAGAAATATTGGTGGTTCTTTCCTAATCAAGGATACAGGTCTGTTTTTCCATTTGACTGTGGCTCTTTAAAGATAGAGTCAGTATTTTACTAGTGTTTGTATCCTCAGCACTTCATATAATAGACAAGCGTGTTTAGAAAGCACCCCACCCCCCTGTTTTTAAAAATACAAGATGAAAGAGAAAAGGTAAAATCTCTCAGATAACTCCTGAACTCAATGACGATGCTATTTATCATGTAAGGTTTTAAAAAAAATTACTCTCTTCAATTTATGACTAAAAGTGATTTATACTTTCTATTAACTTTGTTTTTGACACCCAGGACTGACCAGCTAGAGTTTTCTGGTTCCTGATACTGAGCTTTATTTTTTTCTTTTTTCAAATAAAGAAGACTATTTATTAAGGGGAAGAGTCCTTTGAGTAAGAATAAGGTGTATTTGCTTGATGTCTATTTGATTTTTACCTAGATATAATTGGGGATAATGAGTCTGGTGTTCTTCAGTCTTGCGCATTTCTAAAATAGAAGACAAAGACCTTGGGCCTTGCCTTGCATAGATGGTATAAGATACCTTACAAGACATCAGCTGTGAGTCTTGCAAGGCACTGTGTCTTCAGAGAATATGAAGAAGAATAAAACACCATTCGTCCTCTCAAAGAGATTATATTCTAAGGAGGAAGACTAGAAAGACCCATAGAGACTAAAATACAGAAAATTAAGGCAAAGACCATAAATACATTCAAGCAGAGAAAGCATTTTGGGTTCAAAGAAGGTTCCAGAGAAACCACATGCTTGTAGCCAAATAAAGTCAAGGAAATAAAAGAAATCAGTGCTTATCACTCAGAAGCTTGGCCAGAGTCAAGTGTGAAAATTCAATCTTGAATATGTGCACTCTTAATGAGGGTTTGAGAGTCTACACAGTAAATACAGAAGAGCATTTTCTGCATACTTTAGCAGCCAAATGGGATATTAACCTGATGTGTTAACGAGTGCTTTAGAAGTACTCCTGAGTATCACTGCAGTGCTAGAGTTTAAAAGTCATTCATCTCAACTGCCTCAGTCCTGGAGCCTGAGTAAAAAATTGGGAGAGTTTTTATCTGATCACGTGGAGGGAGAACAGTATCCTTAAAGAGTAGAGCAAGGGAATAGGAATATAAGAGATTAAGGTAAAGAAAAATTTCATATACATACAAGGCTGTGAATATTCCTTCTCCAAATTTAATTTCTTTGTCCTGTTCCTTTCTGCTTAGGTCTAGCTTAAATTTCTAACACATGGTCTTTAGAGGACACATTTAAACTGTAGCATGTACCATAGAAATCTGCAAATACTATAATAAGGGTTTGGTTTATTGTTTTGTTGATTATCTAGACTGAAGAAAGTAATAAGTAAATGTAAATAATGAAGATTAAACTTAAACGTATGTCATGTCTTGTGCTGAAAATAAAAGAAGTTTCAATTTACTGGATATAATTTGCACAAAAGTGAGAGAACTAGTTTAGTCATATATCACATTAAATGATAATAAATTTTTTGAGAAAAGAGTTACTGGATTGGAACACAATTCCATTTGGCAAATCATGGTTGGTTTGTACCATAAGTTGGCTACATATAAAAAAAATCTTTGACAAATATTAATGAATGTTTTTCAGGAGAATCATTGGCTACACAGAATTTATAATAAATATTCTTATATTTTACTGTGTCTTATAAATTGTGTGCTACACATATTTTATATCATGAAAATTTATAGTAAAATTACATATATATGTATCTGCACACATTTCTTTTTTACAGAGAATTGGTTTTAAACATTTACCAGCACGTCATTGTAAAAAATAAAATAAAATTATCCTCTAACTCTAATACTTCTTAACTAAGTCATTATTAAGGTAGGAAATTCCTTAACTCTTTTGATTTGGGGAAAAATAAGGCATATGGGAAGAAAAGAAAATAACTCTGGATTAAAAACAGTATTTGAAAACACTGAACCAGCCACCCTTCAAGGTCGTGTTTAGTTCTTAACTGAATGACACTGGCAGTTCAAGTGTGAGTGGATTGTAAATTAGACTCAATACAAGGTGTTTTTTTTCTTTTTTTTTTTCCACTGATATTTGTTGTCTTTCTCAGGAAGCATGACTTTATTGTAAAGGTTTTAAATTTTGAGACCCCTGGAGTGTGAGTCAAATATTTTAGGCTTAGGATAGGATTTAGAAGGATAAGGAGTCTTCCTTTCCTCCATTGGAGGGATGTGGCACTATCTGACATTGGTGTTTCAAAGGAAAAAATAGTTTTCATCAAAGCTGCAACATGATTCTAAGCAATAGACTGATTCTTTCAGGCAAGGTAATCAATATAGAACATTATTTCTTTATTAACTATGGATAAGAGTAGTATCTAAGATCTTGTCTGTATCTGATACTAAACAAGGATGTCAATTAATCTATAAACATAAACATGCACTAATTTAGGGGGCTAACTATTCTCACCATGATTAAGCTTTGAGAAGCACTTTTAATAAATGATTTGTGAGGGCTAGAGCAACAAGAGCCGAACTTATTTTTGGACTAACTTAATCCCCTGTATTGGTTAATAAACCATCCCAAAACTTAGTGGCTTAAAGCAATGATTTATTAAGTCTCACAATTGTGTGGTCTGGCTGTGGAATGCTCATGCTGCTCTTGCCTGGCATCCCTCATGCTTTTTATTTACGTAGGGGATCAACTGGGCCTAATATGTCCTCATCTGTATGTCTGAGGCCCTGCTGAGAAAGCCAGAGGCTGAGACCTTTCTTCCCATAGGATGTCTCCTTACGCTGTAGCCCAGCCTGAAGTATTTTTCTTTTCTTTTTTTTTCTTTCCTTAGTCATTGATTTTTAAAAACATTTTAACTTTTATTTTACATTTAGGAATACATGTGCAGGTTTGTTATATAGGTAAACTAATGACTCGGGAGTTTGTTGTACAGATTAGTCACCCAGGTACTGTAAACATGGTATCCGATAGTTGCTTGTTTTTTTTCTGAACCTCTCCCTCCTCCCACCTTCATCCTCAAGTAGGCCCCAGTGTCTGTTGTTCCCCTCTTTGTGTACATGTGTTCTCATTATTTAGCTCCCACTTATGAGTGAGAACATGCAGTATTTGGTTTTCAGTTCCTGTGTTGATTTGCTAAGGATAATGGCCTCTAGTTCCATCCATGTTTCTGCAAATCACACAATCTCTTTCTTTTTATGACTGCATAGTATTCCACAGTGTATATGTACCACATTGTCTTTATCCAGTTCGTTGTTAATGGGCATTTAGGTTGATTCCATATCTTTGCTACTGTGAATAGTGCTGCAATGAACATACATGTGCATATGTCTTTATGGTAGAATGATTCCTTTGGATATATACCCAGTAATGGGATTATTGAGTCAAATGGTGGCTCTTTGAGGAATCACCACACTGCTTTCCACAATGGTTGAACTAATTTACACTCCTACCCACAGCGTATAACCATTCCTTTTTTCCTGCAACCTCGCCATCATCTGTTATTTTTCTAGTTTTTAACAATAGCCATTTTGACTGGTGTGAGATGATATCTCTTTGGCTTTTTGACTGGCATTCATCTAATGATTAGCAATATTGGACATTTTTTAATATGCTTGTTGGCCTTATATGTTTTCTTTTGAAAATAATCCACTCATGTCATTGGCCATTTTTTAACGAGGTTGTTTTTTATTGCTTTTGCTTGCACATTTGTTTAAGTTCCTTGTAGGTTCTGGATACTAAACATTTGTCAGATGTGTAGTTTGTAAATATTTTCTCCCATTCTGTAGGTTGTCTATTTACTCTGGATAATTTCTTTTGCTGTGCAGAAGCTCTTTAGTTTGATTAGATCCCATTTGTCAATTTTTCCCAGCACCATTTATTAAATAGGGAATCCTTTCCCCATTGCTTGTTTTTGTCAGGTTTGTCAAAGATCAGATGGTGGTAGATGTGTGGTGTTATTTCTGAGCCCACTGTTCTGTTCCGTTGGTCCATATATCTGTCATGGTACTAGTACCATGCTCTTTTGGTTACTGTAGCCTTGTAGAATAGTTTGAAGTCAGGTAGAATGATGCCTCCAGCTTTGTTCTTTTGGCTTAGGATTCTCTTGTCTATGCAGGCTCCTTTTTGGTTCCATATGAACTTTTAAGTAGTTTTTTCCAATTCTGTGAAGAAAGTCAATGGTAGCTTGATGGGAATAGCATTGAATCTATAAATTACTTTGGGCAGTATGACCATTTTTACTATATTGATTCTTCCTATCCATGAGCATGGAATGTTCTTCCAATTGTTTGTGTCCTCTTTATTTTGTTGAGCAGTGGTCTGTAGTTCTCCTTGAAGAGGTCCTTCACATCCCTTGTAAGTTGGATTCCTAGGTATTTTATTCTCTTTGAAGCAATTGTGAATGGGAGTTCACTCATGATTTGGCTCTCTGTCTGTTATTGGTGTATAAGAATGCTTGTGATTTTTGCACACTGATTTTGCATCCTGAGACTGCTGAAGTTGCTTATCAGCTTAAGGAAATTTTGGGCTGAGACGATGGGGTTTTCTAAATATACAATCATGTCATCTGTAAACAAAGACAATTTGACTTCCTCTTTTCCTAATTAAATACCCTTTATTTCTTTTTCTTGCCTAATTGCCCTGGCTAGAACTTCCAATACTATGTTGAGTAGGAGTGGTGAGAGAGGACATCCTTGTCTTGTGCTGGTTTTCCAAGGGAATGCTTCCAGCTTTTGCCCATTCAGTGTGATATTGGCTGTGGGTTTGTCATAAATAGCCCTTATTATTTTGAGATTCGTTTCATCCATACCTAGTTTATTGGGAGTTTTTAGCATGAAGTGCTGTTGAATTTTGTCGAAGGCCTTTTCTGCATCTATTGAGATAATCATGTGGTTTTTGTCATAGGTTCTGCTTATGTGATGGATTACATTTATTGATTTGCATATGTTGAACCAGCCTTGCATCCCAGGGAAGAAGCCAATGTGATCATGGTGGATAAGCTTTTTGATGTGCTGCTGGATTCGGTTTGCCAGTATTTTATTGAGGATTTTTGCATCGATGTTCATCAGGGCTATTGGTCTAAAACTCCCTTTTTTT